>NC_000011.10:42181212-42484242 GCF_000001405.40 Homo sapiens
CAATGGGACCTGGGTCTGGCATTTGTCAATTTTATACATAAACCGAGTAATACTGGCTTTGTGATTTGTTTAAATACATATCATCTTTAGGAGTAGATATGTCATTTCCTTTCAAAAGGTTGTAAGAAAAGGAGCAGTACAGAGAACTTACTTGAAAATGCAATTCAAAATGTATATTCTTTTTTAATTACTCAGTGTATTATTTGAAAAGAAAAGGACAACAGCTCTCATCATTCATCCATAGGTCTGTGAATCTTTTCTCAAAATAAGTTTGCCATTTTTTGCCAGCAAAATGCATTCAGTTCCAGGCAAGTGGTTCCACATTAACGTGCCATTTCTGTTAGATGTTAAGCCAAATTTTTACACACTCCAAGAATGATTCTGTGAAGCACTTGTGTGAAGCTTTCCAATTGTGCTTCTTTAAAATAGTTCAACAAACTCCCTGGGAGAAGGTTGAGAAAGCTCTTTACCAATTGGCCAACCACAATTATTCTCTAACCCAGAAGTCTCTTCTGTTGACCAAATGGTTGAGTGGTTTACAGGAGAATGTCAATAGGACCAAACATTTTGACCATCCTGAATGGCTTGCATCTTAAGCCTTTAATCAAAGCAGCTATTCATTCATTTTAGAGCAACATATCTATAAGAGCAGCAGTGAGATATTGAACTCTTACTTATTGTTCCCATACTGAGCTGAAATGCTGAGGCATAGATATGGAAGGCACCACAGATACTAGGCACATAAATGCCACTTCACCTGCCAGATGGATAACCCTGAATGCCTTTTGCAAGACATCTCAAATCTCTTCACTAGTGCACAGGCTTCACATGGTTATACAGTATAGCACCACAGATATTCAGGGCCAACAACTCTATGGAAGGCATGAAAATGCTTTGCCTCCCAGAAGATGTTAGGCTCCAAGAGGTTTGTAAATTGAGACTTATCTGAATGTTCACTTCAAATCAGAGAGGAACAATTTTTTTTTCCAAAAATTGTTGATCTGAAACTTGTACAATAAAAATAATATAAAGCTTATATGTTGATCGTTGTCATTGTATTGCAACTCCCTACTATGCTTCACCTCTCTGAGAGGTGTACAAATTCCTAGACAGTGGTAATAATGGGGAAACCCACAACCACACTGTAACTTCTCTCACTTTCTCTTTTCTTTGTCTCTCTTTCACTCAACTTTGCAAGCAAACCTGATATGGTAAAAATAATAGTGGGAGTTAGAATTTGAATAATTTACCATTATTGCTCAAAACTTGGGTAAGCTATTTTCTCAATATACTTTCATTGGTAAAATTAAGTCAGTTGTTTCCACATTGTATGTTTTTTGATGATTGAGAATAAAAACATGAAAGACACCAGATACAGACTCAAAGTCAATATGATACTGACAGTTTGATAGAAAACAATCTCTGAAACATAACCCACAAAGCCTCCCTCATCAACCACCAGATTTCTAATTGCTATTCATTTATTCATCCATCAACATATACTGAGTACTTGTTATGTGACAGGCATTGTGTTAAGAGAAACATAGTCCTAATTCTGAAAAAAAGACATTCCTTAATGACCAGCATGGACAAGTACAAGGATGACTGCCATTTTGTGGAGCTATAGATAATGAAAGCAGTATTTTAAGAGTTGATTTCAGCTTTCTATATGAAGTTCACAGTTATATCATAAATTGTCTTTATAAGAATACTTTAAAAATGATTTAAGAACTTAGAAGCCAAACATCTAAATCCAAGTCCTTTTCTTTTCCTGCTCTCCACTCATTAAATTGCATGAACTTGAAATAGTTATCTAACATCTTAGTTTTATCTAATTTTGAACTTTATAACATAAATGAAATAATATGCAATGTGCAACTTTAGCTTCTTTTGCTTAACACAGTTTTTTAGATATTCTTATTGTTTTTATAAATTAGTAGTTCATTATTTTTCATTGCTGGCTAGTATTCTATGAATGCAGAATTATTTATGTATGCATTTTCTTATTTATGAGTATTCAGATTGTTTAAATTGAGGGTATAAATGAATAAAGTTGCTATGATTATTCATATACAAGTCTTTTTGAAGAAATATGTTTTTATTTCCCTTTGATAAAGAAGATCGAAATAACTGGCTCTTAGGATATGTGTATGTTCAACTTCATAAAAAACTGCAAAACTGTAAAAAAAAAAGAAATAGTTATCTAACATCTTTTACATCATTTCATCTGTGATATGAGGTAATAATTGCATTTATTGGTTCATTAAGATAATTTAAGATAATACCACTAGAACAGTTTGTGGCATGTTTAAATCCTTGACATGTGGTAGCTATTGTTAGAAAGCCACTAACACATATATTAAAAAAATTATTTAATGTCTTTTATCTTGGAATTCATTTGGTTATGGTAATCTAATAGGACAAATAATACAGTTATGAATCCCAAATTTATAGAACTTTGATTCTTGGAAGAAGAGAAAAGCAGATAACAGGATTTTAAGAGATCATCTAGCCAAACATTTTATTGTGCAGATAATAAAACCAAAGCCAAGAGAGATATAAATAGTAGTTTTGAAAGCTACTGTGCACATATCTCATACTTTTTGAAGTACTTTAAATATTTTAATCACAATAAGTCTACAGCATATTTACTGTTAGCATTTTCATTTTACCAGTAAAGAAACTGAGTAACAGAGTTTTCAAGTCAATTACCCCAGGTCACATGGCTAATAAGCAGCAGAGATGGAAATCTGATTTGGACAGTCTGGCTTTAAGAGCCAAGTATTTAGCCAGTAAGGCACACTGCCTTTTAATGTAGAGGACTTGCCTAAGGGTAATAATCATCAACACTTGTGACAAATGAAGAGCTAGATGAAAGTATATCAGATTCAGAGCAATACGGCATCACCACATCACACACCCCCTAATTTGTATTTAAGTACTTCTTACAGAGAAAGCAATTTGAATTTCAAACTTCTTGAAGAGTTTCTAAATATCAGATCACCATTCAGAAAGTCCAACTAAATATCTGCATTAATACTCAGGCACCAAATAAAAAAAATTACTCTAAATCAAAATGCCTAGTCTTTTTAAACAAGATCAGAAATTATCTGAACTGAATTTACTCCATAATAATTTTTTCAAAATACCTAAACTCTTTATCACTTCTTAAAATTGTATTGTCACACTCATGCTTATCAGGTTCACAGAGCAAGAAATATTTTATTTTTATTGCTATTAAAGTAAGTAGCATACTTTTCTGTTAGTCATCAGGAAATTATTGTCCATAAAACTTTCCTAGGAGAAAAAATAATTAAAATTCTTCTTCTTCTGAGAATCCATATTTACTACTACTTGGGTGTATTAGTCAGCTTATAATAGATAAATGGAAAAGCAGCAGTGACAAACATCCCTAAATTTCGTACACTGAAAATGTGTTTCTTTCTCAAATAAACCTCACAGATTGGCTAGAGTTCTTTTCTACTCAGAATCTAAGCTGATAATGCTTCCATATTTTTGTAGTTACTGTATCTGCAAAAAGACTTTAGTGGTCACAACAGCAGGGGAAGAGAGAATTGGAGGGCCACCTACTGGCTCTTTTGTCCTCTTGCCTATATATGAAACACATAGATTCTGTGCACAGTTTACTCACAAAAGCTAGCACTTTTCCCTGCCTAATTGCAAGGGTGTGGGAAACTGTAATACTACTTCAGAAGTGCAGAAGGAAAAAGCATAAGATTTGAGTAAGCACTATAAGTCTATACCACAATGAATCTGTACATACTTCTTGCTGGACAGATAAGGATATAGAATGACTGATGTTAAACGTTCCATCGCAATGCAACTGTTACTACTATTATTACTAAAGCTGCTATACTACTCATATACCATATAGCAAGCAAGTATTATGTGCTAAGTACTATGTTAGCAAATTTTATAGAATATCTAATTTCACAAAACAAGGCCATGAACTATTATTATTTCCAGCTAACAAATAAGAAATCTGAAGTTTAGAAAGTTTAGCATCTTGTTCAAGATCCCACAGATAAGAAGTGATGGAAATACTTTGTTTGCATATAGTTCATTATGACTTCAAAATATTTGCTATTTCCACAGTGAAATAAATTTAAGAGAGCAGGCTGGGAATTCAAAGCAAAGTATATTAGATAAATCTTCTATGTGCTAAACAGAAGAAGGAAGCATCTCTCTGCATTGAGGAATGTACTATTGTATTAGGTAATTAAGGCTTATACAGAAGTAACTATTCTTTGATATTTTTTTCATTGATGACAACCACATTGCTACTGTATTTAGGTTTTATGCACCAGCCAAAGTGTTAGAGCCTATCTGTCTAACATCTGAAATGTTTACTCAAACACTACAAAGTAGGTATTTTTATTCCCTTGTTATGGATGAGAAAAGAGACCCAGAGAATTCAGGTGACTCGAACTAGACTACACATTATACATAGAAGATCTGAGATTTGAATTTATATGCTTTTGGCGCAGAATTCACGTTTTGAACTATGTTAGATCAATTTCACCTGCTAAACTTCTCAACATTCAAGGCTTAGCTAAAGCATTACTTGCCCTGTGAGTCATAGTAGAAACCCCAGTTACAGGTAGGAATGTTCTCTTCTCCACCTTCCAAAAATACTGAGTGAAAGCCACTATGGTAGCCATTATCACATTCTATTGTTACTGTCTATTTACATCACTATCTTACAGACAGACCGCAGACACCGTGAAGTAAGCCTAGGCAAATGAGGTGGTTGTTGTTAGCCTTAAAAAGAGGTGGGAGGATTTTCACAGAGGTCCCCTTGTCCCAGGAAAGCCTCAAAAGATACCAGCCTCAAATTAAATGGACCATTCTATACTTTGGTAGCAGGTAAACTTCAAGCCACTTATGCAGTACCCGCTTTTCTGAACTGGCATAGCGAGTGTCTGGAGTCAAGGACTTGAAGCGTGAACCATCAGCAGAGCTCAACAATGCTCAATTAGTAAACATATATTGAGTGTGCATTTACTATTGTAGGACCTATGCTAGGCACCGGCAATGCAACACTAAATAAGATAGGCATGGTCTATGGCTTCATAGAACTCATTTTTGTGGGAGTTTAGATAACCAACCAGAAAGCAAATTATCAAAACAAAATTTGTGGTACGTAGTGCTTTGCAGAGAAGTTCACAACAGTGGCTCATGCCTGTAATCCCAGCACTTTGGGAGGCCGAGACGGGTGGACCACGAGGTCAGGAGATCAAGACCATCCTGGCTAACATGGTGAAACCCCATCTCTACTAAAAATACAAAAAATCAGCCAGGTGTGTTGGCGGGCGCCTGTAGTCCCAGCTACTCGGGAGGCTGAGGCAGGAGAATGGCGTGAACTCGGGAGGCGGAGCTTGCAGTGAGCCGAGATTGCGCCACTGCACTGTAGCCTGGGGGACAGAGCGAGACTCGGTCTCAAAAAATAAATAAATAAATAAAATAAAATAACAATGATAAATAAATATAAAATGTTAGATAATAGAAAATAGGGAGATAGCTAGCTAGACAGCTGGATAGATAAACTCAAACAGGGTTATATGACACAGTGGATAAAGAAGGCCACTTTGTATAGTGCAGCCAAGGAAGACCTTTCTAAAAAGATGACAGTTAAGCAAATACCTGAATAATAAAAAAGAGCTAAGTAGATAAGATACAGGGTAAAAATATACAAGGAATATATGTTTTTACATACTTTTGCACTCAAGGTGGAAGATAGTCCTCAAGGTGGAAGATCAGATATATTCTGACAACTCCCATGTATAACTGCAACCCTCAATTTCCCCCTGAATTCCAGATGGCACATGGACATTACTACCTGGATATCTAATACAAATGTCAACTTAAAAAAATGATTTTCCCCAAATTTTTGTTCCCCAATATTGGCAAATAAGACCACAATTCACCTACTTGTTATTGCCAAAAAGCTTAATCATTATTTCTGGGATAGAATCAAAAATCCTGTAGGATCTAACCTCAAAAGATTTCCTTGATACAACGACTTCTCAACACCTTCATCTCCACCCAATCACACTACCATCATTTTCCACCTGGACAATAGCAAATTCCATATATTGTCTTTCTGATTCTACTCTTTCATTCTGACATTTTATTTTCTGTTCAGCAGCCAGAGAGTTTGCATCCATTTTCTGCACAAAATATCCATTGCTTCCCTCCATCAGTTAGAATTAAATTTTGAACTTTTACCAAAGACTTGGGGTTGGAGTGAATGGGAAGATATTGGTCAAGGGTATGAAGTTGAAGATAAACAGGAAGAATAAAATGGTAAGTACTGAAAGAGAAAAAAAAAAATCCTTACCATGGGCTGGTCTCTCACTCCCTTTATACCTGTTTTCTTACCTCTCCCTTTATCTGTCACTCTGCTCCAGTAACTGTGACTTCTCTTGCTGTTCCCTAAACAAAGCACGAATATTCTTGTCCCAGAATCTTTGTACTAGATCTCAAGACATACGAAGGGATAGCAAATTCTATTGTGTCCATTCTTCCATCTTCAGCATCTCTCTCTGGAATATAAAAGTTCTCAATAAATATTTGCTGAAAAAATATTTGCTCTGTTGCCCAGGCTGGAGTGCAGTGGCGCCATCTCAACTCACTGCAACCTCTGCCTCCCAGGTTCAAGTGTTTCTCCTGCCTCAGCCTCCTGAGTAGCTGGGATTATAGGGGCACACCACCATGCCCGGCTGCTTTTTGTATTTTTAGTAGAGACGGGGTTTCACCATGTTGTTCAGGCTGATATTGAACTCCTGACCTCAGGTGTTCCACCTGCCTCGGCCTCCCAAAGTGCTGGGATTAGAGGCATGAGCCACCGCGCCCAGCCCCTCTTTCTTTTCTCTACTGAAAAAGTCTTGGTTTTCCTGGCTACTTGAGTGAACTAATCAATTTCATTCCATTCAAACAGTTGAACATTATATTTAACATCCTCCTAAACACAAATAACTGATAGAAGGACACATATGTTGCCTATTTTAACTGCAATAAAGTATATAAGTGCCAGAAGGAGTCACTGAACAGAACCTGATGTAAGAATTAGGTTTATTACAGTTATTTCCTGCACTAAGAAGACACACGGACCTAAGAATGACAAAGACTAGAGTTCAACGTTCAGCCTTTTCTTTGGCTGGGTGACATTAGTTATATAACCTAAACCTCAGTGACACTCTCCGAACCTCAGTGTCTTCATCTCTAAAACAAGAATACTAAAAACCACTATTAAACTTTGCTATGACTAGTAAAATAAAATAGGATACAGAAAGAACATGCAACAGAGTACTTCTTTTTCTGCTCCCAGTGAAGAGTCAAAGAGATCAGCCTTAATTATTGAGTACTTGCTTAAAGGACAAACCACCACCTGTTGTGCTTCTGCTTCATGAACTTCTATCTCCTGCTGACAAACCATAGAAACAGTGAGATATTAATTCATTACAACCATTGGAGAATTATGATATCAGAAGGCAAAGCAATAAACTACAAATGTTATGCCAACATTTGGTGCTGAGACTAGACTCCCTGCCAGTTCAGAGAGGTTGCTTAATAGGAGCATACTTCATAAGGAACCTGAATGTTTGTTTGCTTTTGAGAATCAGAGAGCCCAGGTTCTAGTCTGTTAGCTTTCCGTAGTAATGATTTTTTCTGTTTTCAAATAAAAATGCCAAGCTGAGTGGCTGGTTTCCCCTTTGGGCTATAATGAAGCAGCTTTTGAGAGTTCCAGAGGCCACATTTTCAGAAGGAAGCTGCAAAAGGGTGTCCTACAGCTTTAAGAGGAACCCAAACAAAGCCAATTAGAATAGCTTTCTGTAACCTTTCCAGACCTTCCTAATTCATTTTCTTAACAAGCATCAAATTTACTTACATGTAAAATCTGGTCACGTCTACTTCAGCAATAACGAAAAATGGTTTGATTGGACAGTTACAAATATTTATTGGACAGAACTAAATGTCTTTCAAGATTATCAGGTGTTGCCAGTGTTTATGCCCAGAGAAGATGTAATCATTTTGTTTTCATCACCTGTTGCTTTTTAATTTCCTCTCTCATTGAGAATCCTATTGCCACAGAAACAATAACATCACTGTCTATATGTGTATATACAAACTGCACAGGAGCTTTGGTGCTGGGACAAGATATGCTAAAATAATAAAGAAAAGCAGATTATGCCTTCCAAAGAGCTTTGAAAATACTGAAAACGATATGTTATCAGTGGCCACATTTACACAATGAAGATCATGAGAAGAAAAGAATTATAAATTTTCTGAAATTTATTTGAATATCTTTCAAGGATAAACTAAAATAATCTAATAAAATTATCATTACTATTTAGCTTATTATGGATTACACCAAAGACATAGCTAACTGAAGAGGGATGCAGACTCAAAAGAACCTGGGTCCAAGATTCAAGATGTTGACCACAAAATTGCTATGGGAATTGAGCTGTTTGGTTGTTTGTTGTTTTCTATGAGCTCCAGTCTCCTCAGTTGGAAAATGTGGTAGGAAATACTTATTCCCAGGGTTCTATGAAATGTCACATGAAATCACTGAGATGGAAGCTCTGTGAATATTGCAAATTAGAGTGCAAAATATTGGTTATTATTGTATATTTTACAGTAATATATATTTAATAAAAAACAAATCTGTGCAGAAGACCAGTGGGGATTTGGAGCCCCTCTGCTGCTTGAAAAAATAGTTTCACATTGTGTTTGTTTTCTAGAGCTTATACTAGTAAGGTGGTTTTTTGTTTGTTTGTTTGTTTGTGTTTTTTTGAGATGGAGTCTCTGTCACCCAGACTGGAGTGCAATGACATGATCTCGGCTCACTGCAACCTCCGCCTCCAGGGTTCAAGCGATTCTCCTGCCTTAGCCTCCCAAATAGCTGTGATTACAGGTGCCCATCACCACACCCGGCTATTTTTCGTATTTTTAATAGAGAGCAGGTTTCGCCATGTTGACCAGGCTGGTCTCAAACTCCTGACTTCTGGTGATCCACCCACCTCGGCCTCCCAAAGTGCTGAGATCACAGGTGCAAGCCACTGCACCCAGCCCATACTAATAAGTTTTAATCCTGTCAGGGACATATGGCTCTTCACATAAGTAGGAAACATTATCCTAAAGTAGCCTTGGATGAAGCCAAGCTCAAGAGGCCAAACCTGAGTAGGAAAATCCAATCGCATATTGTCCCTTAGAGTTTACAGTCCTGAATACATCTGAAAATAGGAATCAAAGACCCTCCCACCCCCACCTGCCCTAAGGAAAACTGACTAATTACCATAGAATAATGTAACTTCTCATCCCTTCCAGAGTGTGCTGGTGCTGAAAGGGCAATCAATGGACTAGGGAGATCTGCAGGGCTACAGCTGTGTCTCTGGGGCTTCTTTGACAAAGAGCATGATGCAGGGACCTATAATCCAACCTCAGATTTGAAAGAGTAATTTGTATCTAAGCAAAAAAATATTTAGTGGGAGGAAACACATACTATCTGAGCTGGTTTTCTAACCCTTTGTGAGTACAGACTAACACATACTATGACCATGGAAGGTTGGTTTGCTTGCTTGCTTTCTTGTTTACTGTCCACTAAGACTGAGACCTTTCCTTCAAAAACAAAGGCAGGAAATTCTCAAGAAATCTTTCTCTAACCTCTGCATTCCCTAACCCATCTTTGGTTAGGTACTTCTTCTCTAGCCCACATCTAAGTTACTATTTTCTATTGATTTTTCTCTCATCTCCACTGAACTCCTGGTTCCTTGAGGGCACAGGTGGAATCTATTCAGTTCCTGTTGTTACTACAGTGCTGAAGAACCTGCTGGTCTATATAAAGCATTCAGTAAGTATTCTGGAAGAATTAAAAACACATAGGAATCTGCTGGAAAGAAGTATTTAATACAACCTTTGAAGTTTTCAGAAATGTGATTTTATTATGTTATTGATCAGAACAGGATGATGTGAGATATTCTTTCCCTTTCAAAAACAGACAGCCAAAAACAAGAAAACAACAAAATTCCTCTTACCATTTTAGAAAGGGAATCAGATACTGAGAATCAGATTCTAGCACCTCAGGAATTCAGTCACATATCTTAAGTAGTAACTGTCTCGACTTTGTTGTTTCTGTCACACCATCTTTCTAAAGTAATTGCTAGCAATATCTTTCTAAATGAAAATGTCTGTGGAGAAGTAAAACTGATGTTAAAAATATGATCTTTGCCAGAGTGAAAGAAAAGAAGATAAAATTTGTTCATACCATAAATGGATGTACGGGTGGATAGATGGATAAATGAACCATTGAGAATAATTCAAGCAGGAAAAATAAAAAAAATATTGCAATGAACAGGAAGATGATCCATCCCCATACATACACACATGCATGTATACATGCATGCATATACATATTATATATGTGTTTACAAATATAATTATGTATAGTATACACACATATAAAATAAAGGAGAGACATGGAGCAATATTTAGACTTAAGTTACATGTTCTAATATTTAGTGGGAAAGCTTAGCGCCTATTCTGATAGGTTGAAATGAATGGTTTCCATGGTATTCAGATGCCATTTGAGGTCAGGAGAGCAAGAGATATTTGCATTTATTCTATGCAGTACAGAATAAATTATCTGTGTCCCTATGGTGTTCTCAAAATAGGAATATATAGGGTTGAGGGCAATAGAAGCACTCTATCATTATCTAGGTTGTCCTATGAAGAACATTTTGGTAAGCCAGGATAGAGTCCAGGTCTAGAGGTTCTATCCTTTCTTCTGGGTATATACACAAATATCAATACATTACAACAATCAAGGGGAATAAATGGACATCAGAAGAAAAAAAGAAAGCTGGACAGGTAGCCTTTGTGAAAGACAGGTATAAGTTGGGCACATGCAAAAAAATACAAATATCTTCACATAGATATGGTGACTATATATTCGGATATACCTGAGATAATCCCAGTTTCAACTGTTGCTCACTATAATTTTTAATAGTGCTTCTTTTCCTTTTAAAGGTGTCTTGGTTTAGATGATAAAGACCAAATTTATAGATCATCTTATTACCCAGGACACATGCATGGAAAAGGAAAATGAGCCAGAAGATTTTAATTTTAACATAGACAACCACCCTTCTGGTCAATACATGTGTCAAAGATTTGCCTAGATTTTATTTTCTTTTTATTAGAAATAGCTGCAAAGGAGACAGAAGAATGCTCAAGAATCTCTATCCCCTTGGCCTATTCCAATGTACACCTAAAATTTTAAATTCTTCTAAAATTTTAATTCCTTTACAAGTTTGCTTAGTCCATATGTACAACTATATAGAGAGAGTGACAGAGATTGTGTGTTATGTATATATACTAGATGTGTGTGTGTCTGTATATATATATATATATGTATATATATACACATGTCTACACACACACACACATATACCAGTCCTATATATATAAAGTTTATTCACTCTAGATATGGTACTTTTCCATTCCATACCCTTCATTTCTATCCTTATTTGTTGTGTGAATGAACTGTTTTTCTTCCCTCCTTTATCATAGGGGAAATGTAGAGATAATACAGAAACACTAATGGCAACATTTTTAAATTTTCTACTATAAGCCAGTCATGGATAGTTACATGTACATACACTATCCCTGTTATGGTCTGAATGTTGTATACTTCCAAAATTCATGTGTTAAAATCTAATCCACAATGTGTTGGTATTCAGAGCTGGGGCCTTCAAAAGGTGACTAGGTCATGAGGGTAAAGACCTGGCAAATAGGATTAATGCCCTTATAAAAGAGACCAGCGGGAGCGTGGCCACCACCCCCAACCATGTGAAGACACAAGAAGAGACCATCTATCTACAAGGAATGGGCCCTCACCAGCCCCTCAACCTCTAGATCCTTGATCTCGGAGTTCTCAGCCTCCAGAACTGCTATTAATTGAGCATTAAATTGCTATTGTTTACAAATTGCCTAGTCTAAGGTATTTTGTTATAGCAGGCTGAACAAACTGTGACAGTCTCTTTGATCTGCTTAGCAAAAAGAAAGAGGCAAGAAGTCAAAGAAGAAAGTAGGAGAGGTAACAATGGAGGCAGGGGGTTGGAATGGTGTGAAGCAGAGGTCATGAGCCAGCAAGGCAGGTGGCCCTATAGAAGCTGAAAAAGGCATGGAAACAGATTTTCCCCGAGAGCCTCCACAAGGAACCAGCCCTACCAACACTTTGTTCTTAGTTCAGAGAAACTGATTTTAAACTTTTGGGCTCTAGAACTTTAAGAAAATGAGTTTGTTAAAATAAACAATTTTACAGGATTTTCTATATAATTCCCATAGATATCTAGGGAAATGTATAGGATTAAAAGACTCCTGTGATTGTATCAGCCTTACTCAGATGATCCAGAAGAATGTTTCCACATCAAAATTTTTAAAGTAATCACATCCAAGTCCCTTATGCCATGTAAGGTAACATTCCTAGGTTCTTGAAAATAGAATGTGGATATTGTTTGGTGGACAATTCTTCAGCCTACTGCACCACATATACTGTACTTCATTTGCTGTCTCCGTGGTTTGCACTTTACCTGTAGTGTGAGTTGCTGTTTCTCAACATCCTCCTCAATACCCAAATAATCAGAAATGTATATTTTTGATAAACTAGATGAAAAACAGCCTCTCATATTTTTATCTTATTTCCAGTAAGTTTGAATATTTTTCATACATTTATTGAACTATTTTTTAGCCCTTCTGTGTATTTCTTGTTTAAATAACTTGTGCTTTTCTATTGAGCTGTTTGCTATTATTTATTTGCACTACAAGTTCTAAATACTAATGTTTTGCCTGTTAAAGGTTTGCAAATGTGTTATCCAAAATTGAGTAATCGAATTTGTAAATCCTTTCTTTCATGCTCTATGCTTTCTGCTTGTTATTCAATGAATGCTTTCATATCTGAAGTCAAACATAAGTTCTGTTCCAAATCTTTCTAAAAGTTTATAAGGTTCTGGCTTTTTTGTTTGTCTCATTTTCCATGCTCTGATTTTTAACCCATCTAAAATATATGTATTTTTCTCATATGTAAAGTAAGTACCAATTTAATTATTTTTCCAAAATTGAAAGCCAAATTTCCTAGCACCAGTATTTAAATATACCTGTTCCCCTTTAAACTGTTGGATTGCTGCCATTATATAGCAAGTTTCCTGATACATGTTGGTTCTCAGTTCTCTACTTTGTTCCAAATGGAGTCTATTATTGTATCAGCACTACACTGATTTCATTCACATATGTCAGCATTTGGGGGTGGAGGGTATTAGGGAGTAGTTTCTACATCTTTTATATCATACTACTAATTATGAAATTGAAATTACATATCTGTTTAGTGATATTGTTTTCTGCTTGATCAGGTTCCCAGGGAGTGTGTGTTTAGTCCCTCACTGTATCTGTTAATTTATCTTCATGTGTCCTGTATTTGTTTCTTTAGGTTTATTTGATCTTATATTAAGTTTCAGATCATTTTGACGATAAACTAGGCATTCCTTTTGTCAGTATAAAATATTGTTCCTTGTGCAGACACATTTCCTTTTAGTTTTATTGTATCTATTATTAATATTGCTATAGCATATTTGTTTGGGTTATAATTTTGCTGGCATATTCCTCTCTACCCTTTATTTCCAATGCATTTGGGTTATATTGTTTTCATATGTTCTACCAAATTACTTCCTTATTCTTTCTCTGAACTTCTACATAACTTCCATTATTTCACATTGGCTGGCACATATTGGACATTTCAGCTATGCACAATGAGAGAGAAAATAGAAAATAGATGATCATTATGTAAGTATCTATTAATACACAGAAGGAACCTAGTTTTGTTTGGAGACAGATCAGGATGTGAGAATACAACCTTTCACCATGTTTTTTCATTAGTTAATTTCAGCTAATATGATATGTTAGGATGACACATTCCCCTTCATTCTCCTCTCCACGGGCTTTCCTCCCAATTCTTAGTTCCCAGAAGAGGGAGATGTGAGCCTTACCAGGCTTGATAGCAGATACATGCATGTCAGTGTAATCACTTCCCAGTTTTATAATCCTGTGTATGGTATTTAAACACTCCGAGTCTTAGTTCCATCATTGCTCAACTGGAATTGCTCCCCACTATTTCATGATATTGCTCTCCAGATTAAGTGAAATGCCATCTTTAAAATACCTCATAAGGCTCATGAGGCACAAGGCATGAAGTTGATGCTCTCTGTAGCACCTTCTACATAGTGGATACTAATGAAATGCATGTGAAATGATGTGAAATTATGTTGGGTTACTTGGAAAGAAAAGTTATTTCCATATTTCTAAAGGCATGTAACACTTATCTAATATTAATTACATAAACATCTTAGACTTCTTTTGTAGTCTAACCTTCATCCCCAGGGAATAAGTTTAACAAACATAAATCTCTGCAGTCAGATCAAACGTCTAATAAAATAAATCACACAGATCTGTTTTTCTCAAGTAACAGAGCTAATATCATAAAGGCATCATTTCTCAAAAGAAAAAAAAAAAAGACGCTGAATTGATTTAGGATCTCTGTCAGTGCTACCCCAGCACATCATCAACAAATCTCTCTTACAAAACACTAACTTGTTTTCTATGTCATTCACAGAAATATCCCATAGGGAAAAACTGTAAGAGCAATAGAAATACAACATTATTAGGGGGTCAGACCATAGGCCTTCCTTTCTCTTTCTTTTTCTCCCTCTCTTTTCTTACATTCCTGTTAACACTCATACTTGCCAAGATTCCTTGTTAGAATGGGTATAGAAAATTGGTAAGTTTCAGCACCAAGGTAGTGGTGGAAGACTTAAAATTTACAGACAATGGAGAGAAAGTAACTCTGAAACATTTCTTAGGTTATTTATCAGGACCAATGACTGGCAAAACTACACACTCCGCAACATGTATTTTTCAACACTCTTACACCTCCCTTCTGAGAACTTCCTTCTCACCATTTGACACATTCCCCGTCAGAGCTAAGATTCTCTTGTTCACAGCACAAGTTCTGAGGTCAAGAAACTTGGACTTGAAAGAAATGAAAAACATGGCTTTTATACAAACATATAGTGAGCACATGTCAAAGGTTTATTTAACTCATAAATAGGGTAAGTAGCAGAATATTGTAAAGCTTGCTCGAAGGAGACTTAGAGAAAATAAGGAAATACAGACACTGAAAAACATTGCTGAAGTAAGATTACTGCAGAGATTACATGTGCATGATGCGCAAGTTTGTTACATAGGAAACGAGTGCCATGGTCGTTTGCTGCACAGATCAACCCATCCCCTAGTTATTAAACCCAGGATGCATTAGCTACTCTTCCTGATACTCTCCCTGCCTCCCCCCGAACAGGCCCCAGTGTGTGTTGCTTCCCCACCCCACCATGCATCCACATGTTCTCACCGTTCAGCTTGCACTTATAAGTGAGAAAATGTGGAGTTTGGTTTTCTGTTCCTGTGTTAGTTTGCTAAGGATAATGGCTTCCAGCTCCATCCACGTCCATGCAAAGGACATGATCTCATTCCTTTTTATGGCTGCATAGTATTCTACTGTGTATATGTATCACATTTTCTTCATCCAGTTTATCATTGATGGGCATTTGGGTTGATTCCATGTCTTTGTTATTGTAAGTATTGCTGCAATGAACATACACATGCATGCCAGACCTTAAAATAAAAGTTGAAAAAAAAAAGTCAAAAATAACAGATGTTGGTTAGATTGTGGGAAAAAAAAGGGAATGCTTATATAGAGCTGGTAGGAATGTAAAGTAGTTCAGCCCCTGTGGAAGGCAGTTTGGAGATTTCTCAAAGAACTTAAAACAGAACTATCACTCAAAGCAGCACTCCCATTACTGGGTATGTACCCAAAGGAATATAAATCATTCTACCAAAAAGACATACACATTCAATTTTCATCACAGCACTATTCACAATAGCAAAGACATGGAATCATCCTAGATGCCCACTGACAGTGAAGTGGATAAATAAAATGTGGTACATATACACCATGGAATACTATGCAGCCATTAAAAATAAAATTACGTCCTTTGTAGCAACATGGATACAGCTGGAGGCCATTATCCTAAGTGAGTTAATGCAGAAACAGAAAACCAAATACCATACATTCTCACTTATAAGTGGGAGCAGTACACAAGGACACAAAGATGTGAACAATAAACACCAGAGCTTACTTGAGGGGGAGGATGGAAGGAGGGTAAGGGTTGAAAAACTACCTACTGGATACTATGCTCACCACCTGGGTGACAAAGTCATTTGTACACCAAACTCCAACAACGTGGATTTACCCATTTAACAAACCTGCACATGTACCTACTGAACCTAAAATTAAAGATGGAAAAAAAATACTACAGGGAGAATAAATCCATAACTTTTACAGTTATCATTTCTACTGAACAGAAGTAATTTGCATGCCTACCAGAAAAATGCATCTCAAAACATATAATTTTACAGAGCCATGGTTCTAATCAATAGAAAATAGTATGTCAATCAAAAGTGCATTAAGCTACAGAACTAAGTAATCCTTAAGCAGACCAGTTAGACAATACTCCAGTAAAATTTTGAAAAGACATAGAGTCATCCTTTAGTGCATTTTTCCACATTTTAGATAATATTTCTTAACAGTACAAAATATTTGTCAAAGTTCTTTAATGTTGTTATGCTTTTCCAGATATTCATTATTACTGTAATTTCTACTACTACTATCAACACAATCATTAATTATTTTGAGGGAGCTTATATGCCTAGAAGCCTTTGGAAATGTATTATTTCTTTCATTAGCTTTTTCCCCTTATTTTTTGTTCTAAGTGGTTCAAATAGAGATGAGGAAAAACTTCGAAGGTTTTCTGAAGCTTTTAACCTAAAAAGGAAATATGCAAGAAAATAAAAGGGTAGAATATGTTCTGCAAGAGTTATGTACGTTATGAGGATACAATAAAGCTAGCAACTTTATATAATTTTGCCCAAAGGAGACAAAAAACCTCCATGGATAAAATCTTACTTCAGATGTATACCCAGGCAGCCAATGGGCAGAAGAATGAGACTTTGAGCTAAAGAATTATACATATACAATTGTAGCTGAAAAAACTCATAACCCACACTTAAACATAACTGAAAAGAGTTTATTGTGGCTAAAACACAGAAGGTATGGGGAAAAGTGATAAGAGATGAGAGTGGCGAGGTGAGATATCATCAACTTGCAAAGTTTTCTAGTTTTAAATCATAGAAGTTGCAAACAAATTGACATATTCGCATTATAAGCAAGAGACTGAACTGGGGGCCAAGGTACCTCAATTCTATTTTTATTTTATTTATTTATTTATTTTTGAGATGGAGTTTTTCACTCTTGTCTCCCAGGCTGGAGTGCAATGGCAGGATCTCAGCTCACCACAATCTCTGCCTCCCAGGTTCAAGCGATTCTCCTGCCTCAGCCTCCAGAGTAGCTGGGATTACAGGCACCCGCCAACATGCCCAGTCAATTTGTGTATTTTTTCTTTTAGTAGAGATGGTGTTTCACCATGTTGGTCAGGCTGGTCTCGAACTCCTGACCTCAGGTGTTCCACCCGCCTTGGCGTCCCAAAGTGCTGGGATTACAGGCATGAGCCACTGTGCCCGGCCAATACCTAGATTCTAAAACCTGTTCAGCCAATAGCTGAATTTCAAAATTTTTTCAAAGTTATTTCAAAACTTAGATTTTCTTTCTCGGCCTCTATTTTCTATCTGTAAAATGAGGGTTGCTGGACCACATGAGCTAAATCCCATAAATTGAACAATGCTTATAACATGCTGAGTGCCCTTGGGGTCAAACCTTTGAAAGTGACGGAAAAGGAGTAACAGTGGGCAGAGGGAGTAGTTGAGCCTAACGTAGAATGCAGAGAAGTCTCAGCCAACTCCATTAGAAGCTCTGGAGCTAGAATGGCCCTTCAGAGTAGTCCCGAGTTGGGTGGCCACTTGGGCTACTCCAGGACTTTGGGCAAGGTGGCTCTATAAGTGATTCAATCCTTGAAGGAACTGACAGTGAAGGCTATTGGCCAACAGCACTCTCAACACTGGGAAAAGAAGTCACTGGAGGGAGGCCTGGGTCACACATCACAGTATCCACACCAAAGAAGCTTATGATTAATCACATTCTGTCCTGCTATTTATCTTCCCCTTCTTCTCCCTACCTCGACACTGTTTTACCTATGTAAAATTATTTACAGATCCTCAAACACGACATGAAAGCATTTTTTTTAACAACCTCCAGCATTACCATCCTGACCTACTACTTCTGTGTTCTCAACTTAGGGATCACTTTCTTCTGAATGCTTTCCAGGACAACCTGGTATTGTCCAAGTTTCTTACTCTGTGCTCACTATTGGCCATTAGTCATTCTTTCTTCATGCATCTGACTACCCTTATAAATGGAACCAACTTGAAAGTATTTAATGGGTCTTCTTATATCTAGCACATATGAGGTACATATAGTAAATACCAGATGCATCTTTGTTGAAAACAAACAGACAAGTAAATGAATGCATGAATTTCAGAGATAGTAAATTAAAACGACAATGCAAGTACGTCAATCTAAAAATCTGAGAAACAATCGGAAAAATTAAAAGCTAAATCCAATACCTCATGTTCTTACTTATAAGAAGGAACTTAATGGTGAGAACACGCGGACACATAGAGGGGAAGAACATATTCTGGGGCCTGTCAGAGGTTGGAGGTTGGGAGGAGGGGGAGGATCAGGAAAAATAACTAATGTATACTAGGCTTAAGACTTGGGTGATGAAATAATCTGTATAGCAAACCCCCACGACACAAGTTTATCTATATAGCAAACCTGCACTTGTACCCCTAACTTAAAACAAAAGTTAAAAAAAGAAAAATTATATAATTTATAGTGGCTTATGTTAAAAAATTAAAAATTGTAACGTTACCAATAACAGAAAAAAAACAGGGTTGAGACAGAAACAGAAGCTAAATTTCTCTGAATATATCTTGTTTTGATAGATTCAACTTGAACTAAATAGTTACATAATTATAAAACAAAATACAAACTTTGCAAAACTATAAAAAACAAAATTAAAACAAATTATGAAAAGAGAAAATACCAATTTGACATAGGAGCTTTTTTCGTCATGAAATGTTCTGCATAAAGTGCCCAGGAGTGCACCTGCACTAGCAGAAGCCTGCGGGAGAGGCGCGGAGCTGTCTATGACTCACGGTTGTTTCCCTAACTGCGTTTCTTAGTGTTATCTTCTAATTTTGAGGTTTGATTTCTACTACCCCTTGGTTATTGGTCTCTTTTGTCTTCAGACTTCAAAGAAAAGAAGAAAAAACAAGAACCTCCATGCATGTGTACACTGTTGCACAACCTATAAGCAGCAATTTTAAATCAGTATTCTTGGCAAAGCTGTTAAAATGCCTTCATTCCTGGTTCTTCAGGTATTCTAATCGTTTATTTCCTGGATTTTTTTTTTTTTTTTTTTTTTTTTAGATGGAGTCTCTCTCTATCGTCCAGGCTGGAGTGCAGTGGCAAAGTCTCGGCTCACTGCAAGCTCCGCCTCCCGGGTTGACGTCATTCTCCTGCCTCAGCCTCCCGAGTAGCTGGGACTACAGGCGCCCACCACCACGTTCAGCTAATTTTTTGTATTTTCAGTAGAGGTGGGGTTTCACTGTGTTACCCAGGATGGTCTCCATCTCCTGACCTCGTAATCCACCCGCCATGGCCTCCCAAAGTGCTGGGATTACAGGCGTGAGCCACCGCACCTGGCCTTTACTGGATATTTTAAATGGCATTTCATATCACTTATCTTTAAATCAAATGCTTTTACATTTTTAATCCCTTTTATCATTAAAATAGTCCAGGGTGGGATATATTGGAGTCAATATTTTTCACGTAAATTACAGGAGACTCAGAGAGGCCACAGAGTTGCTTAAAGTCACACAGTTAGGTAGAATCTGCTCCCAAACCCAGTTGTTTGAATTCTACCCTGCGTCCCCTTTATATTACCATAGCTGAAGTAAGAATCTTACCATATTGTCTCTAATACCAACATTAGAGACATATTTATTTGGTACTTACAGGTCTTGGTGCTCTAAGAAATAAAAGACGAATATTCCTAAGAAGGGAATATGTGTCTAATGATGTAAAAGCAGAAAAGAAGCAGCAACTATTGCCTAGTGATTTAAGGTTGCCATCTCCTTTACTTTTTCAAAAACCCCAGTATACACATTCCTTTTACAGACAAAGAAATCAAGGCTCAGAGCGGTTGAACTACTTGCTTAAGATCCACAACCAATTATGGAAAAATTATGATTGGAACTCAATTATTTCCGGCTCCAAAACCTCTTGTCTTTTTATTATACATTCATATACCCTCCAGGTTTCAGACTTTCATCCTCCTTCACACTTAGAAAATAGCATCAACAAGTTTAAATCAAACCAAATTGCTCTGGTCCCTTGTGGGAACTGAAGTTCACGCCCCCACCTGCAATTCTGAGTGAGACTGCTAGATCCAGAGCTATGCATCATTTAAGATCATTAGTGTAAAATCAATAGCTGCAGGAAATAATTGTAAGTATCCCCGTGACCTTGCCCCCTGTGATACTTCATCTTTGAAGGTTATTTAATTAAAGTCCAAGCAAGATGGGTTAGCTCTGGAGTGTCACGTAAAGTGGAATTGACATGACCCAACAGGATAACGGCCTTCACTACTAGCCTTGCAATGTGTGGCTCAGGAAGAGAAGGTCTCAAAATATTTGGAGCCAGAAGACCTAAGATTCTGTGAAGGATCACTGCCTTGTAGGTGATTAGATTGTCTCTGACATTATAAGACATAAGCTGTGTACCAAACGTAGGCAGTTATTTAGTAAATATCTACGGAAATGCTACTGTATGCTAAATTTTCATGCTGTAATGAAGCTGAATATAATATCAACCCTAATTAGCCTCCAGGAGATCATATTTGAATGGAGGCAAATGTCCAATAACTATCTTAGTTGGTTCAGGCTGCTGTAACAAAATGCTATAGCCTAGGGGACTTACACAAAATACATTGATGTCTCACAGTTCTGGAGGCTGAAAGTTCAAAATCAGGGTGCCAGCATGATTGGGTTCTGGGAGGGTTATCTTCCAGATTGCAGATTGTTGAATTCCTCTTGTATCCTCGCATAGCAGAAAGAAGGCTCTCTGGGACCCCCTGTAAAGGGCCACACACTAATCTCATTTACGATGGGGTCGCCCTTATTACCTAATTACCTGTAAAAGACCCCACCTCCTAATACTATCATATTGGGATTAGATGTCAACATTTGAATTTTGGGAGGAAAAAAATATTTCACTTTGTAGCCCAATGTCTTCTGGTGTATGATATCTGCATAGACATAATTGCAGTATATACCTTTCAACAATCTAGATTCTGTCAAATCTTGTAAACATTTTAAGAGGGGGTAAATTTGAATACAATTGACCCTTGAACAACACAGGTTTGAACTTCATGGGTCCACTTCTATATGTGGATTTCCTTTTGCCTCTGCCACCCCTGAGACATCCTTTTCTTCCTCCTTTTAAGCCTACTCAACATAAAGACAACGAGGATGAATGATCTTTATAATGATTTGCTTCCACCTAATAAATAGTAAATATATTTTCTCTTCCTTATGACTTGTTAAATATCATTTTCTTTTCTCTAGCTTACTTTATTGTAAGAATACAGTATATAGTATACATAGCATACAATATATGTGTTAATTGACTGTTTATATTATAGGCTTCTGGTCAACAGGGGAGTTAAAATTGATCCATAGATTTTCAACTATGTGTGGGTCAGCACCCATACCCACTGCATTGTTCAAGAGTCAACTGTGTTTTTGTTCCATGTTGATACAGGAGCTAGAAAGAAATTACTTAGGCAGTTATTGAGGGTAAAAGAGTCCTCAGTAAGACTTTCCCTGTAATAAAAAGCAGCCCCCAAATCATTTCTTTTCTAACAATGATCAGCCTGAAAAATCAAGCTGCAGACATAGATAAGCAAGCTGGACACTTGCATAGGTAAATGCCGGCAGCTGTGCCAGTAGAAAAAGGCTACCTGGGGCCAGGCATATTCAACATGGAGGCTCCATCTTTCCTTTTCTTTGTCAAGCACATGTGCATTAAAGAAGCAGGCAACATGGCACCAGCCAGGTGGAGAACCTATCTGCATAGTAAAAGATTAGGGTGGATTGGCCAGCTTCTTTGCGTGCAGAGTAAATGGCACACCCTGTGCAACCAATCCTTTGTGCCCTATGTAAATCAGACACCACCTCATCAAGCTCGTCTATAAAGCCCTGTGCATTTCACCACAGAATCAGAAGACCCACTCGGGAGCCCCTCTCTCTCTGCAGGAAAAAGACCTTCTCTCTTTCTTTTTCCTATTAAACCTCTGCTCTTAACCTCACTCCTTGTGTGTCCACATCCTTGATTTCCTTGGCATGAGGCAACAATCCTCATGTGTTACCCAGATGAATGATACCACTTCAATGTCACCTCCCTTTGGAATTCAGACCACAGCCTGAATTTCCACGAGAGCATCTCCAATTCCCAGACTGCTGGGGTTCACACTTCCCTTGACAATGCTTGCTTTGCTTCCAATACTTGCAGGTTATTATCTACCCCTAAATTAATGCTGCTTCTATTTTGTAGTAATAGCACACTTAACTACTTGGCACCAAACATAAACTCAGAACTCACTTTATTTTAGGTCACAAATCAGTAAAAACATCCATTTATTCATTATTTCAACACATATTTGTTAAGAATCGACAGTTGTAGTTCTTTTATTAGTGAATAATTATTTTATAATCATATTAAATTATTTTTCTTACCATAATTAATTCTGATTTTATCTAATTCATATAACAGACATTTTCAGTGTACACACTAAGTGCTATGTAGTATTTAAAATGCCATGGATACAACCATAAATGAAACAGGTTATTTGCCCTGAGGAACTTACATTCCATTTGGAGAGGCAAACTAAAGAAATAAAAAGCAAACAAATCAATAATTAAATCTACTTTTATAGTTCTATGAAAAAATACAGGTAAATTAATTGGATACACAGTGTCTGGGGTGGGTATGAATATTCTCATTGATTGGGTGACCCTGAAAGAATACTACAAGAATATGAGAGTTGAGATTCATATTTTACTAAAATATTTACTGAAGACATAGCAAAAACAAACTTTAACCCGGAAACTAGGTATGGCTCTTCTCAAGTCTATAGCCCCACCCCAGCTCAAAGTGTGTACCTCTGTAATAGAGACCTGTGCTTACATTTTGTACTGTCAACTGGGTTCATTTAGGACTTTCATTTCCTAAAAGTCTTTTCTTGTATGACTCTGAGTTATTATTAAAGCAAACACTTACATTCTGAAGGTCTTAGATAGAATGTAAAGAATAGATAAAATGTCTTCTCTGCCTCTTCCCTCACCAAGTCCCACTGTCTTTCCTGATTGTTGACCTTGGGTAACAACAACATCCCCAGACTATTGTACAGTTAGGAAGAAGCTTTCCAGAGATAGCTCCATGGGCTTCCCCTTGGTGATCCCACCTGGCAGTTGGATGTGCTTGATGTCTTAGACTTCCCTACAAGTTCTAATGTATTCAACCATGTGTTTTAAGAGAAATACTCAGGGGCATTTTTAAATTGTCTTCCTACTTCTTTTCTAGACATGAGTCTTCCTATTTCTCCCACAATTCTGTACTTTCTAACTCCTTTTAAAAATATCTTATACCATTCCCGGGCAAGAAGGTCGAATAGGAAGAGTTCTGGTCTGCAGCTCCCAACAAGACCAGTACAGAAGGTGGGTGATTTCCACATTTCCAACTGAGGTAGCTGGCTCATCTCATTGGGACTGGTTAGACAGTGGGTGCAGCCCAAGGAAAGAGAGCAGAAGCAGGGTGGGGTGTCACCTCACCCGGAAAGTGCAAGAGGTCAGGGAACTCCCTCCCCTAGCCAAGGGAAACCATCAGTGAGGGATGGTGCTATCCAGCCCAGATACTACGCTTTTCCCACTGCCTTCACAACCTGCAGACCAGGAGATTCCCTCGAGTGACTATACCACCAGGGCCCTGGGTTTCAAGCACAAAACTGGGCAGCCATTTCGGCAGACACCCAGCTACCTGCAGAGTTTTTTTTCATACCCCAGTGGCACCTGGAATACCAGCAAGACAGAACCATTCACTCCCCTGAAAAAGGGGCTGAAGCCAGGGAGGCAGTCTTGCTCAGCAGATCCCACCCCACAAAGCCCAACAAGCTAAGATCCACTGGCTTGAAATTCTTGCTGCCATCACAGCAGTCTGAAGTCAACCTGAGATGCTTGAGCTTGGTGAGGGGAGGGGTTGTTTACCATTACTGAGGCCTGAGTAGGCGGTTTTCTCTCACTGTGTAAACAAAGCTGCCAGGAAGTTTGGACTGGGCAGAGTCCACTGCAGGGCCACAAAGCCACTGTAGCCAAACTGTCTCTCTAGATTCCTCCTCTATAGGCAGGGCATCTCTGAAAGAAAGGCAGCAGCCCCAGTCAGAGGCTTATAAATAAAACTCCCACCTCCCTGGGACAGAGCACCTGGGGGAAGGGGTGGCTGTGGGTGCAGCTTCAGCAGACTTAAACGTTCCTACCTGCCAGCTCTGAAGAGAGCAATGGATCTCCTAGCACAGTGCTCAAGCTCTGCTAAGGGACAGATTGCCTCAAGTGGGTTCCTGACCCCTGTGCCTTCTATCAGGGGAGATACTTCCAAGCAGGGGTCAACAGACACCTCATACAGGAGAGCTCTGGCTGGCATCTGGCAGGTGCCAGAGGAAGGAACAGGCAGCAATCTTTGCTGTTCTGCAGCCTCTGCTGGTGATACCCAGGCAAACAGGGTCTGGAATGGACCTCCAGCAAACACCAGCAGACCTGCAACAGAGGGGCCTGACTGTTAGAAGGTAAACTAACAAAGAGAAAGCAATAGCATCAACATCAACAAAAAGGATGACCACGCAAAAACCCCATCCGAAGATCATCAACATCAAAGACCAAAGGTAGATAAATTCACAAAGATGAGGAAAAACCAGCGCAAAAAGTCTGAAAATTCCCAAAACCAGAATGCCTCTTCTCCTCCAAAGGATCAGAACTCCTTGCCAGCAAGGGAACAAAACTGGATGGAGAATGAGTTTGACAAATTGACAGAAGTAGGCTTCAGAAGGTGGGTAATAACAAACTCCTCCAAGCTAAAAGAGCATGTTCTAACCCAATACAAGCAAGCTGAGAACCTTGATAAAAGGTTACAGGAACTGCTAACTAGAATAACCAGTTTAGAGAGAAACATAAATGACCTGATGGAGCTGAAAAACACAGCACGAGAACTTCATGAAGCATACACAAGTATCAATAGCCGAATCGATCAAGTAGAAGAAAGGATATGAGAGATTGAAGATCAACTTAATGAAATAAAGCATGAAGACAAGATTAAAGAAAAAAGAATGAAAAGGAATGAACAAAGCCTTCATGAAATATGGGACTATGTGAAAAGACCAAACCTACATTTGATTGGTGTACCTGAAAGTGATGGGGAGAATGGAACCAAGTTGGAAAACACTCTTCAGGATATTATCCAGGAGAACTTCCCCAACCTAGTAAGACAGACCAACATTCAAATTCAGGAAATACAGAAAACGTCACAAAGATACTCCTTGAGAAGAGCAACCCCAAGACACATAATTGTCAGATTCACCAAGGTTGAAATGAAGGAAAAAATGTTAAGGGCAGCCAGAGAGAAAGGTTGGGTTACCCACAAAGGGAAGCCCATCAGACTAACAGTGGATCTCTTGGCAGAAACCCTATAAGCCAGAAGACAGTGAAGGTTAACATTCAACATTTGTAAAAGAATTTTCACCGAGAATTTCATATCCAGCCAAACTAAGCTTCATAAGTGAAGGAGAAATAAAATCCATTACAGACAAGCAAATGCTGAGGGATTTTGTTACCACCAGGCCTGCCTTACAAGAGCTCCTGTAGGAAGCACTAAATGTGGAAAGGAAAAACCAGTACCAGCCACTGCAAAAACATACCAAAATATGAAGACCATTGACAATATGAAGAAACTGCATCAACTAATGGGCAAAATAACCAGCTAGCATCATAATGACGGGCTCAAATTCAAACATAACCATATTCACCTTAAATGTAAATGGGCTAAATGCCCCAGTTAAAGACACAGACTGGCAAATTGGATAAAAAGTCAAGACCCATCGCTGTGCTGTATTCAGGAGACCCATCTCACATGCAAAGACACATATAGGCTCAAAATAAAGGGATGGAGGAATATTTACCAAGCAAATGGAAAGCAAAAAAAAAAAAAAAAAAAAAAAAAGCAGGAGTTGCAATCCTAGTCTCTGATGAACAGACTTTAAACCAACAAAGATCGAAAAAGACAAAGAAAGACATTATATAATGGTAAAGGGATGAATGCAACTAGAAGAGTTAACTATTCTAATATATATGCACCCAATACTAGAGCACCCAGATTCGTAAAGCAAGTTCTTAGAGACCTACAAAGAGATTTAGACTCCCACACAATAATAGTGGGTGACTTTAACACCCCACTCTCAGTATTAGACAAATCAATGAGAAAGAAAATTAACAAGGATATTCAGGATTAGAACTCAGCTCTGGACCAAGCAGACCTAGCAGACATTTACGGAACTCTCAACCCCAAATCAACAGAATATACATTCTTCTCAGCATCAGAATATACATTCTTCTCAGCACCACATAGCATTTATTCTAAAATTGACCACATAATCGGAAGTAAAACACTTTTCAACAAATGCAAAACATGGAAATAATAACAAACAGCCTCTCAAACCACAGTGCAATCAAATTAGAACTCAGGATTAAGAAACTCACTCACAACCGCACAACTACATGGAAACTGAACAACCTGCTCCTGAATGACTGACTACTGGCTAAATGATGAAATTAAGGCAGAAATAAATAAGTTCTTTGAAATCAATGAAAACAAAGACATAATGTAGGAGAATCTCTGGGACACAGCTAAAGCAGTGTTTAGAGGGAAATTTATAGCAGTAAATGCCCACAGGAGAAAGTGGGAAAGATCTAAAATTGACACCCTAACATCACAATTAAAAGAACTAGAGAAGCAAGAGCAAACACATTCAAAAGCTAGCAGAAGACAAGAAATAACTAAGATCAGAGCAGAACTGAAAGAGATAGAGACATGAAAAATCCTTCAGAAACCAATGAAACCAGCAGCTGGTTTTTTGAAAATATTAACAAAATAGATAGACTGCTAGCCAGACTAATAAAGAAGAAAAGAGAGAAGAATCAAATAGACACAATAAAATATGATAAAGAGGATATCACCACTGACCCCACAGAAATACAAACTACCATCAGATAATACTAAAAACACCTCTAGCAAATAAGCTAGAAAATCTAGAAGAACTGGATAAATTCCTGGACACATACACCCTCCTAAGACTAACCCAGGAAGAAGTCAAATCCCTGAATAGAACAATAACAAGTTCTGAAATTGAGGCAGTAATTAATAGCCTACCAAAAAAAAGAAGCCCAGGACCAGATGGATTCACAGCCAAATTCTACCAGAGGTACAAAGAGGAGCTGGTACCATTCCTTCTAAAACTATTCCAAACAATTGAAAAAAGGGACTCCTCCCTAATTCATTTTAAGAGGCCAGCATCATCCTGATATCAAAACATGGCAGAGACACAACAAAAAAAGAAAATTTCAGGCCAATATACCTGATGAACATTGATCCAAAAATCCTCAATAAAATACTGACAAACTGAATCCAGCAGCACATTAAGAAGCTTATCCACCACAATCTAGTCGGCTTTATCCCTGAGATGCAAGTCTGGTTCAACATATACAAATCAATCAGCAAAATCCATCACATAAACAGAACCAGTGACAAAAACCACATGATTATCTCAATAGATGCAGAAAAGGCCTTTGATAAAATCAGTACCTCTTCAGGCTAAAAACACTCAATAAACTAGGTATTGATGGAAGGCAACTCAAAATAATAAGAGCTATTTATGACAAAGCCACAGCCAATATCATACTAAATGGGCAAAAGCTGGAAGCATTCACTTTGAAAACCGGCACAAGAAAGAGATGCCCTTTCTCACCAATCCTATTCAACATAGTATTGGAAGTTCTGGCCAGGGCAATCAGGCAAGAGAAAGAAATAAAGCATATTCAAATAAGAAGAGAGGAAGTCACATTATCTCTGTTTGCAGATAACGTGATTGTATATTTAGAAAACCCCATCATCTCAGCCCAAAAACTCCTTAAGCTAATAAGCAACTTCGGCAAAGTCTCAGGATACAAACTCAATGTGCAAAAATCACGAGCATTCCTATACACCCATAAGAGACAAACAGAGAGCCAAATCATGGTAAACTACCATTCACAATTGCTTCAAAGAGAACAAAATACCTAGGAATACAACTTACAAGGGATGTGAAGGACCTCTTCAAGGAGAACTACAAACCACTGCTCAAGGAAATAAGAGAGGACACAAACAAATAGAAAAACATTCCATGCTCATGGATAGAAAGAATCAGTATCATGAAAATGGCCATACTGCCCAAAGTAATTTATAGATTCAGTACAGAGGTCTCTGAAATAACACCATGCATCTACGACCTTCTGATATTTGACAAACCTAACAAAAGCAAGCAGTGGAGAAAGCATTCCTTATTTAATAAAAGGTGTTAGGAAAACTGGCCAGCCATATGCAGAAAACTGAAACTGGACCCCTTCCTTACACCTTATACAAATATTAACTCAAGATGGATTAAAGATTTAGATGTAAGACCTAAAACCATAAAAACCCTAGAAGAAAACCTAGGCCATACCATTCAGAACATAGACATGGGCAAAGACTTCATGAATAAAACACCAAAAGCAATGGCAACAAAAGCCAAAACTGACAAATGTGATCTAATTAAACTAAAGAGCTTCTGCCCAGCAAAAGAAACTATCACTAGAGTCAACAGGCAACCTGCAAAATGGGAGAAAATTTTTGCAATCTATCCATTTGACAAAGGGCTAATACCGAGAATCTACAAGGAACTTAAATAAATTTACGAGAAAAAACAACCCCATCAAAAAGCCGACAAAGGATATAAACAGACACTTTTCAAAAGAAGACATTTATGCGGCCAACAAACATGAAACAATGCTTATCATCACTGGCCATTAGAGAAAAGCAAATCAAAACCACAATGAGATACCATCTCACGCCAATTAGAATGGCAATCATTAAAAAGTCAGGAAACAACAGGTGCTGGAGAGGATGTGGAGAAATAGGAATGCTTTTACACTGTTGGTGGGAGTGTAAATTAGCTCAAGCATTGTGGAAGACAGTGTGGCAACTCCTCAAGGATCTAGAATTAGAAATACCATTTGACCCAGCAATCCCATTACTGGGTATATACCCAAAGGATTATAAATCATGCTACTACAAAGACACATGCACATGTATGTTTATTGCAGCATTGTTCACAGTAGCAAAGACTTGGAACCAACCCAAATGGTCATCAATGATAGACTGGATTAAGAAAATGTGGCCCATATACACCATGGAATACTGTGCAGCCATAAAGAAGAATAAGTTCATGTCCTTTGCAGGGACATGGATGAAGCTGTGAACCATCATTCTCAGCAAACTAGCACAGGAACAGAAAACCAAACACCGCATGTTCTCACTCATAAGTAGGAGTTGAACAATGAGAACACATGGACATAGGGAGGAGAACATCACACAGTGGGGCCTGTCGAGGGGGTGGAGGACACACTGAGGGACAGCATTAAGAGAAATAACTAATGTAGATGACTAGTTGATGGGTGCAGCAAACCACCATGGCACATGTATACCTATGTAACAAGCCTGCATGTTCTGCATATGTATCCCAGAACTTAAGGTATTTTATATATATATATAAATAAATATATATATATATATATATATATATCTTATACCATAACATTTACAGTACTTCTGTTTCTCTGAAGGATAATTATACTGATCCTGAAAGTGGTTCCAAAGAACATAATCTTAAGAATGGAAATCCACAGTTGGTTCTCTGATGGGCTAGAGTTAAAGACACTAATAACATGTTTGCCAGTAATAAATGGAGTGATGGTAGTTCATAGCATGCAATGGAAGAACTGTCATTTAAATTATTCACCTGTAGTTATCTGGAATCAGATGTGTATAAAAGACAAAGCTTTGTCAGACTATAAAACAATTCAGTAGAAATGAAAAGTATACAACTTATGAAGCTGGTTGATTGGTTGATTAATTTACAAGTGTGCTTATGCATATAGAAAAAAAAATGATGAACACAGGTTTAAATTCTCAGCTCAAGTTTTTGTTTGTTTGTTTGTTTTCAGAAGCTAGAAAGTTGTTATTACTGGAAGGAGGGACTTTGGGAAGAGCAGAGTGAGAACCTCTATACGTTTTACTCTATAGAAGCAAAAAGAAAACTGGCAAAGTTGTTCAAATCAACTTTTTTAGAACTCTGGAAATTAACCAAAGAATTTCAACAATCCAAGGAGCATTTATCTAAGAAAACTGCCTAATTTCAGTAAGAAGAGTGGAGATTTGTGTCATTTTAACCTGGTTGACTCCCATGCCCCACTCTGTAACACCATGGTAAGTCTTTGAAACAGGAGTAACTCCCAATGTTGGACATGTGGCCTAGAGAGAAGTATTTGTATTTAGGGTCAAATTCCTCATAAATGCCTCGGGTCATCTCCTTGGTAATGACTGAGCTCTTGCTCTGGGTTCACGTGAGATCTGATCATTTAAAAGTATGTGGCACCCATTCTTACTATCTCTCACTTGCTCCTGCTTTCACCATGTGACATGCCTGTTCCTTCCCCTTCACCTTCTGCCATGATAGTAAGCTTCCTGAGGCCTTCCCTGGAAGCCAAGTAAATGCCTGCACCATACTTCCTGTAAGTTCCTGAAGAACTGTAAGCCAATTAAATGTATTTTCTTCATGAATTATCCAGTCTTAGGTATTTCTTTATAGCAGTCAAAGAACAGCCTAATACAGAAAATTGGTACCAGAAGAAGGATATTGTTATAAATATACCTGAAGATGGGGAAGGAAAGTTGGAACTTGGTAATGGGCAGAGGTTGAAAAAGTTTGGAGGGCTCAGAAGTCAGAGAGATGTGGGACAGTTTGGAACTTCCTAGAGACTGATAATATGGCTGTGACCAAAATTCAAAATTCTAACAGTGATATGGACAGTGAAGTCCAGGCTGCTGAAGTCTCAGATGGAAATGAGAAATTTATTGGCAACTGGAGCAAAGGTCACATGTATTATGTCTTAGCAAAGAGCTGGGCTGTATTCTGTTCATGCCCTAGGGATCTGTGGAAGCTTGAACTTCAGAGTGTTGATTTAGGATATCTGGTGGAAGAAATTTCTAAGAAACAAAGCATTCAACATGTGGTGTGTTTGCTTTTAAGAGCCTAGCCTCAAATGTGGAAGCAAATAAATGACTTAAAGTTGGAATGTATATTTAAAAGAGAAGCAGAATGTACAGGTTTGGAAATTTGCAGCCTGGCCATGTGGCAGAGACAGAAAAAGCTTTCTCAGGAGAGGAATTCAAGCAGGCTATGGAGCAAACACTTGCTAAAGATATTTGCCTAACTAAAAGAGAGCCAAGTGCTAATAGCTGAGAAAATAGGTAAAAGGCCTCAAAGTCATTACAGAGATCTAAAAGGCAGCCCCTCCTATTACAGGCCCTGAGGCCTAGGAAGACAGGTACCACTCAAGGTACCACTGTTCTGCACAGTCTTGGGACACTGGTTGCTGCATCCTGGCCATCCCAACTCCACCTGTGGCTCAAAGGGGTCCAGCTACAATTTGAGTGGCTACTCCAGCTCCAGAGGGGGCAAACTGTGAGGCTTGATGGTTTCCACACGTGTTAAGCCTGTGAGCACACAGAATGCAACAGGAAAAAGGCTTGGCAGCTCCCAATCAGGTCTCCAAAGATGTATGAGAAATCCTGGGTGCCCAGGCAGAAGCCTGCTGCAGGTTGGAACCCTCACAGAGAACCTCTACTAGGCCAGTGCCAAGGGGAAATGTAGGGTTGGAGCTTCCACACAGAGTCCCAGTAAGGTACTGTCTAGTGGAGCTGTGGGAAGGGGCCACTGTCCTCTAGACCCCAGAACGGTAGATCCACTGGCAGCTTGCACCCTCTGCCTGGAAAAGCCACAAGCACTCAACAATCTGTGAGAGTAGTCACAGGAGCTGAAACCTACAAAGACACAGAGGTGGAGCAACCCAAGTCTGTGGGAGTCCACCCCATGTAGCAGTGCACCTTGGATGAACAAGATGGAGTCAAAGATTATTTTGGATCTTTAATATTTAATGGTTGCCCTGCTGGGTTTTGAACTTTCATGGGTACTATAGCCCCTTTCTCTTGGGCAATTTTTCACTTTTGGAATGAGAATGCTTACCCAATGCCTATACCTCCCTGTTGTATCTTGTTTTTGTTTTACAGGCTTGTAAGTGAAAGAAACTCATTTCAAATGAGAAACTGGGCTTTGGACTTTTAATTAAATTTTATTTAGTTAAAAACTTTGAGGTAATTCTGGAATGAGTTAACACTTTCAGGGACTATTGGGAAGGTGTGATTGTATTTTGCCATGTGAGAATATGAGATGCTGGGACAGGGGGTGAGGGGGTGTTCAGAATGATATAGCTTGAATATTTGTCCCTGCCCTAATAGCATTCTTCTCTCTCTCTCTCTTTTTTTTTGAGACAGAGTCTTGCTCTGTCACCCAAGCTGGGGTGCAATGGCATGATCTTGGCTCACTGCAACCTCCACCTCCCAGGTTCAAATGATTCTCCTGCCTCAGCCTTCTGAGTAGCTGGGATTATAGGCATGCACCACCACACCTAGCTAATTTTTTGTATTTTTAGTAAAAACAGGGTTTCACCATGTTGGCCAGGCTGGTCTCAAACTCCAGACTTCTGGTGATCTGCCTGCCTTAGCCTCCCAAAGTACTGGGATTACAGGCATGAGTCACTGCACCTGGCCCAAATCTGATGTTAAAATGTAATCCCCAGTGTTGGGGGTGAGATCAGGCGGGAGGTGTTTGAATCATGGGATTCATTGTTCATGAATGGCTTGGCCCATCCCCTTGGTAATTTGTGAGCTCTCGCTCTCTCTCTGAGTTCACATGAGATCTGGTTGCTTAAAAGTGTGTGGCAACTCCCCCTCCTCACCCTCTCTCACTTGCCCCTGCTTTCACCATGTGACAGGCCTGCACCCCCTTTCCTTTCTGCCTAATTTTAAGCTTCCTGAGGCTCCCTAGAAGCTGAGCAGATGCCAGCACCATTCTTCCTGTGAAATCTACAGAATTGTGATCCAATTAAACCTCTTTTCTTTATAAATTACTCAGTCTCAGATATTTCTTTACAGCAATGCAAGAATGGTTTAATACAGAGTACAAGATTTGTATACTGAAAATCACAAAACATGACTAAGGGAAATTAAGGATCTAAGTGAATTGAGAAACATACAATACTCATGTACTGGAATACTCAATATTGCTAAGATGAAAATTATTTTCTATCCCATCCCGCAGTCCTGTTGCTTCTTGATCCCTGAAAATAAAAGAGGATACAAACAAATGGAAGAACATTCCATGCTCATGGGTAGGAAGAATCAATATCGTGAAAATGGCCATACTGCCCAAGGTAATTTACAGATTCAATGCCATCCCCATCAAGCTACCAATGACTTTCTTCACAGAATTGGAAAAAACTACTTTAAAGTTCATATGGAACCAAAAAAGAGCCCGCATCGCCAAGTCAATCCTAAGCCAAAAGAACAAAGCTGGAGGCATCACACTACCTGACTTCAAACTATACTACAAGGCTACAGTAACCAAAACAGCATGGTACTGGTACCAAAACAGAGATATAGATCAATGGAACAGAACAGAGCCCTCAGAAATAATGCCGCATATCTACAACTATCTGATCTTTGACAAACCTGACAAAAACAAGCAATGGGGAAAGGATTCCCTATTTAACAAATGGTGCTGGGAAAACTGGCTAGCCATATGTAGAAAGCTGAAACTGGATCCCTTCCTTACACCTTATACAAAAATCAATTCAAGATGGATTAAAGATTTAAACGTTAGACCTAAAACCATAAAAACCCTAGAAGAAAACCTAGGCATTACCATTCAGGACATAGGCGTGGGCAAGGACTTCATGTCCAAAACACCAAAAGCAATGGCAACAAAAGCCAAAATTGACAAATGGGATCTAATTAAACTAAAGAGCTTCTGCACAGCAAAAGAAACTACCATCAGAGTGAACAGGCAACCTACAACATGGGAGAAAATTTTCGCAACGTACTCATCTGACAAAGGGCTAATATCCAGAATCTACAATGAACTCAAACAAATTTACAAGAAAAAAACAAACAACCCCATCAAAAAGTGGGCGAAGGACATGAACAGACACTTCTCAAAAGAAGACATTTATGCAGCCAAAAAACACATGAAGAAATGCTCATCATCACTGGCCATCAGGGAAATGCAAATCAAAACCACAATGAGATATCATCTCACACCAGTTAGAATGGCAATCATTAAAAAGTCAGGAAACAACAGGTGCTGGAGAGGATGTGGAGAAATAGGAACACTTTTACACTGTTGATGGGACTGAAAACTAGTTCAAAAAACACATGAAAAAATGCTCATCATCACTGGCCATCAGAGAATGCAAATCAAAACCACAATGAGATACCATCTCACACCAGTTAGAATGGCAATCATTAAAAAGTCAGGAAACAACAGGTGCTGGAGAGGATGTGGAGAAATAGGAACACTTTTACACTGTTGGTGGGACTGTAAACTAGTTCAACCATTGTGGAAGTCAGTGTGGCGATTCCTCAGGGATCTAGAACTAGAAATACCATTTGACCCAGCCATCCCATTACTGGGTATATACCCAAAGGACCATAAATCATGCTGTTATAAAGACACATGCACACGTATGTTTATTGCGGCACTATTCACAATAGCAAAGACTTGGAACCAACCCAAATGTCCAACAATGATAGACTGGATTAAGAAAATGTGGCACATATACACAATGGAATACTATGCAGCCATAAAAAATGATGAGTTCATGTCCTTTGTAGGGACATGGATGAAATTGGAAACCATCATTCTCAGTAAACTATCGCAAGAACAAAAAACCAAACACCGCATATTCTCACTCATAGGTGGGAATTGAACAATGAGATCACATGGACACAGGAAGGGGAATATCACACTCTGGGGACTGTGGTGGGGTCAGGGGAGGGGGGAGGGATAGCATTGGGAGATATACCTAATGCTAGATGACGAGTTAGTGGGTGCAGCGCACCAGCATGGCACATGTATACATATGTAACTAACCTGCACAATGTGCACATGTACCCTAAAACTTAGAGTATAATAAAAAAAAAAAATTAAAAAAAAAAAAAAAAGAATTGAAGAGGAAAACAGGTCCCATGAAACCACTGTCTGTCCAGAAAAGTAGAGGGCTGACACTGTGAAGTCAGAGCACACTTCTCCTAGGTTTCTGGGTACCTAAGGAAACCAATGAGCCAAGACACTTAAGGCACTGAAGCCTTCCCTCCTCCCAGTAGTTTGTTGTTACTAGCCAAAAATAGCATAGCAAAACAAAAATAAAGGTGCCCACCTTTATTTAGCTGAATCTCCTTGTTGCCACAGAAATTACTTCACTTTTGCCATTCTCATGCTGTCAAAGGCTATCAAATATCCCTCTCTGAATGTAGAAGGGAATAAACTAGACAGAATGTAGGACTGGACTAGCCACATTGTAGAACATAGAGTTAGCATGGTGGAAAGGGAAAGAATCCTGTTTTTAAATTTTTTTAAATTGTCTTTGAGCTGTGCAGTTAGCCTCTTAACATATGCAATGTAGACTTCAGAAGAGCTTACCAGAATGGGAATTTGAGCACGCAAGACGGCCCAGAAAAAGAAGAAGTGATATGCAGAGAAGTTCTAGGTGAAGACAGAAAGTGGAGCCCTGAGATACTCCTATAGCTCATATTTTATGAGGAACAAGTGTTACGATTTGGGTCCTAGAATTGTAGCCTAAGAACTAGTGTCTGGAAAACTGAGGTTTAAACTTGGGAAACATGAGGGTAAGAGGAAATAAATGTTAGGTTCCTGGACACAAGGAAAGGAAGGTGGCAGGAAGGTAATTGGGGATCCTGATGGCGCTTTAAAACGTTCGTCATTTTTGCCTGGAAAGTAAATAAAGATGATTTTCAAACTTCCCTGCAAATGAGGTAAAGCCTGTGGCTGTTCTCTCAGAGGGGGTCCAGTGTTCCTAGGCTGAAGGTATTTACAGTAAAGGTGCATAATCAGGTGTCATAGTCATTAGCAGGTGCCCCAGAATTCTTTATACATGACTAGAATGGGGGATAGAAGTGGACTAAGATACAGGATCATGAAATGGTAAAAAAACAAAAACAGAAACAAAAAAACACAAAAAAAAACCCTACTGTTCAACATATGATTAAAAAAAAATGTGGATTCACCAGAAAAAAATTGATGAAACTGTATTTTAACATTGGCTGATGGCTAGTGCCTTTTACAGTGGGTTTGGCATCATTTAAACAAAATATGTGTCAACCAGAATGGTATGTATGGATAAATATCTATTATCACTTTGGATTTTTAATTTCTAATATGTATTCCATAAGACATAATCTAAAGATTTGCAATCACCTTGTATCCATTTCATGTTATTAGATGTTGCCATAGACTTTCCTCTAGATTAAAATTGACAAAAGATTGCGTGAGCCCAGGAGTTTGAAACCAGCCTGGGCAATATAGTGAGACCTCCTCTCTACTAAAAATAAAAAGGTTAGCTGGGCATACTGGTGAATGCCTGTAGTCCCAGCTACTTAGGAGGCTGGAGCTGAAGGATCCCTTGAGCCCATGAGGTTGAGGCTGCAGTGAGCCATGATCATGCCACTGCATTCCAGCCTGGGTGACACAGTGAGACTCTGTCTCAAAATAAAATAAAATAAATAGGTCAGGAGTTCAAGACCAGCCTGATCGATATAGTGAAACCTCGTCTCTACTAAAAATACAAAAATTAGCTGGGCATGGTGGCGTAGCCCCAGATATTCAGGAGGCTGAGACAGGAGAATTGCTTGCACCCCAGAGGCAGAGGTTGCAGTGAGCTGAGATCATGTCACTGCACTCCAGCCTGGGCAACAGAGCAAGACTCTGTCTCAAAAAAAAAAAAAATCATCAAGTGTCTTCTCTAATGACAATGGAATAAAACTAGAAATCAATAAGAGGAATTTTAGAAACTATACAAACACTTGGAAATTAACCAGTATGGTCCAGAATGACCAGAGGATCAATGAAGAAATTAAGAAGAAAACTTTAAAATTTATTGAAACCAATGTTAATGGAAACACAACATACCAAAACCTATGGAATACAATGAAAAGGGTACCAAGAAAGAAGTTTATAGCTATAAGTGCCTACTTCAAACAAGAAGAAAAACTTCAAATAAACAACCTAACAATGCCTCATAAATAACTGGAAAAGTGGGAGTATAGCAAACACAAAGTTAGTAGAAAAGAAATAATAAAGACCAGAAGAGAAATAAGTGAAATTGAAATGAAGGAAACAATACAAATGATCAAGGAATCAAAAAGCTGGTCTTTTGAAAAGATAAATAAAGCCAGACTACCTAAAAAAAGAAGCCAGAAGACCCAAATAAATAAAATCAGACATGAAATAAAACATTACAACTGATACTACATATGTACAAAGGATCATTAGAGATTATTATGAGCACCTATATGCCAATAAGTTGGAAAATCTAGAAGGAGTGGATAAATTCCTAGACACATACAACCTACCAATATTGAATCATGAAGAAATCCAAAATCTGAAAAGACCAATAACATGTAACAAAATAGAAGCCAAAATAAAAAGTCTCCTCTCAAAGAAAAGACCAGGAACTGAAGGATTCACTGCTGAATTTTTCAAATATTTAATGAAGAACTAATACAAATCCTACTCAAACTATTCTGAAAAACGAGGCAGAAAGAATACTTCCAAACTCATTATATCAGACAAGTCCCACCCTGATACCAAAACCAGACAAAGACACATCAAAAAAAAAAAAACTACGGTTCAATATCTGATGATTATTGATGCAAAAATCCTCAATATAATACTAGCAAGACAAATGCAACAACACATTAAGAAGGTCATTCATCATGACCAAGTGGGATTTATCCCAGGGATGCAAGGATGGTTTGACATATGTAAATCAACCAAGGTGATACATCATATCAACTTAATGAAGGACAAAAACCATATGATTATTTCAATTGTTGCTGAAAAAGCATTTGATAAAATTCAATATCATTTTATTATTATAAATTCCCCAAAAACTGGGTATAGGAGGAACATACCTTAACACAATAAAAGCCATATATGACAGATCCACAGCTAGTATCATACTGAATGGGGAAAAACTAAAAGTCTTTCTTCTAAGATCTGGAACACAATAAGGCTGCCCACTTCCACCACTGTTATTCAACATAATACTGAAAGTCCTTGCTACAGAAATCAGACAAGAGAAAAAAATAAAAGACATTCAAATTGTAAAGGAAGAGGTCAAATCATCCTTGTTTGCAGATGATATAATCTTACATTTTGAAAAACCAAAGACTCCACCAAAAAACTACTAGAACTGAACTGTTAGAACAAATTCTGTAAAGTTGCAGGATATAAAACTGACATACAAAAAGCAGTAGTATTTCTACATGCCAACAGTGAATAATCTGAAAAATAAATCAAGAATGTAATGTAATTTACAATAGTAGTCCCAGCTACTCAGGAGGCTGAAGCTGAAGGATCCCTTGAGCCCATGAGGTTGAGGCTGCAGTGAGCCATGATCATGCCACTGCATTCCAGCCTGGGTGACGCAGTGAGACTCTGTCTCAAAATAAAATAAAATAAATAGGTCAGGAGTTCTATTTGGATCTATTCTGGATCTTTTGTGGTTCCATATAACATATAGAATTTTATAAACTTTTAGAATCAAATAAAATTAAATACCTAAGAATTAAATTAACCAATGTAATGAAAAATCTCTACAATGAAAACTGTAAAACACTGATGCAAGCATTTGAAGAGGGCACAAAAATTGGAAAGATACTGCATGTTTATGGATTGGAATAATCAATATTGTTAAAACACCCATACTACCCAAAGTTAAATCCCTATCAAAATACAAATGACATTCTTCACAGAAAAAAAAATTCTAAAAGTTATATGGAACCACAAAAGATCCAGAATAGCCAAAACTATCCTAAGCAAAAACAACAAAACTGGAGGAATCACATTACCTGACTTCTAATTATACTACAGAGCTACAGAAACCAAAACAGCATAAAAACTGGCATAAAAACAGATACACAGAGCCATGGAACAGAATAGAGAACCCAGAAACAAAACCCTAGATCTACAGTGAATTCAATTTCAACAAAGGTGCCAAGAACATACATTGGGGAAAGGACCGTCCCTTTCAATTAATGAGGCAGGGAAAACTGGATACGCATAAGCAGAAGAATAAAACTAGAACCCTATCTCTTGCCATATATAAAAATCAAATCAAAATGGATTAAAGACTTACATCTAAGACCTCAAACTATTAAGTTGGTGCAAAAGTAATTGCGTGGGTTTTTTTTTTTTTTGCCACTAAAAGTAACTGCAAAAACTGTGATTGCTTTTACACCAACTAATATAAAACTACTGCAAGAAAACATTGGATAAAATATCCAGGACATTGGAGTGGACGAAAATTTCTTGAGTAATAGCCCATAGGCACAGGCAACCAAAGTAAAAATGTACAAATGAGATCATATCCAGTTAAAAGCCTGCACAGCAAAGGAAACAATCAACAGAGTGAAGAGACAACCCACAGAATAGGAGAAAATACTTATAAACTATCCTTCTGACAAAATATTAATAATCAGAATATGGAAGTCGAACAAATAACTCTATAGGAAAAAATCTAATGCTCTGATTTTTAAAATGGGCAAAATACACGAATAGATATTTTTCAAATGAAAACATACAAATGGCAAACAGGTATATGAAAAGGTGCTCCACATCCTTGATAATTAGAGAAATGCAGATCAAAACTAAAATGGCATAGTATCCCACCCTAGTTAAAATGGTTTTTGTTTATCTAAACGACAGGAAATAACAAATGCTAGTGAGGATGTGGAGAAAAAAGAACCGTCATACACTGATGTTCAAATGTAAATCAGCACAACCACTTAGAGAACCGTTTGGAGGTTCCTCAAAAAACTAAAAATTGAGCTAATAAATGATCCGTTAATTCCACTGCTAGGTATATACCCAAAAGAAAGAAAACCAATATATCAAAGGAATATCTGCCCTCTCGTGTTTATTGCAGCACCATTCATAATAGCCAAGATGTGGAAGTAACCTAAGTGTCTGTCAATAGTCGAATGAATAAATAAAATGTGGTATATGCCATCTCACGCCAGTTAGAATGGCGATTATGAAAAAGTCAGGAAGCAACATATGCTGGAGAACATGAGGAGAAATAGGAACACTTTTACACTGTTGGTGGGAGTGTAAATTAGTTCAACCATTATGGAAGACAGTGTGGTGATTCCTCAAGGATCTAGAACCAGAAACACAATTTGATCCAGCAATCCCATTACTGGGTATTTACCCAAAGGATTATAAATTATTCTACTATAAAGACACATGCACACGTATGGTTATTGCAGCAATATTCACAATAACCAAGACTTGGAACCAACCCAAATGCCCATCAAGGATAGACTGGATAAAGAAAATGTGGCACATATATACCATGGAATACTACGCAGCCATAAAAAAGAACGAGTTCATGTCCTTGCAGGGACATGGATGAAGCTGGAAACCATCATTCTCAGCAAACTAACACAGGAACAGAAAACCAAACACCGCATGCTCTCACTCATAAGTGGGAGTTGAACAATGAGAATACATGGACACAGGGAAGAGAACATCACATACCTGGGCTCGTTGGGGGCTGGGGGACAAGTGGAGGGATAGCATTAGGAGAAATACCTAATGTGGATGATGGTTTGATGGGTGCAGCAAACCACCATGGCACAGGTATACCTATGTAACAAACATGCACATTCTGCACATGTATCCCAGAACTTAAAGTATAATAATAATAATAATAAAAGAAAATGTGATATATATACACAATGGAGTACTAGTCAGCCACAAAGATGGAAGAAGATCCTTTCATTAGAAAAAAACATAAATGGAACTGAATGGTTTATTTAAGTGAAATAAACCAGGGACAGAAAGACCAACTTTGCATGTTCTCACTTATTTGTGGAAGCTAAAAATTAAAACAATTGAAATCATTGAGATAGAAAGGAGAATGATGGTTACCAGAGGCTGGAAAGGGTAGTGAGGAGATGGGGGAAGTGGAGATTGTTAATGGGTACAAATAATAGCTAGAAAAAACTAATAAGATCTAGTATTTAATAGCACACCAGGGTGATTACAGTAAATAATAATTTAAATGTACAATTTAACTAAAAGAGTATAATTGGAGTATTTGTAACACAAAGGATAAATGCTCGAGGTGATGGATTGCCCATTTACCATGATGTGATTATTACACATTGTATGCCTGTATCAAAATATCCCATATACCCCATAAATATATACCCATACTATGTACACACGAAAATTAAAAATAAAAAAAATCCACCTATAATTCATAATTAGAATTAGCTAATAGTGTGCTTCATAACTGCAAGATTTCTCTCATTCTTTTTGTTGTAATTTTAATATCTATTTTCCATAGCATACAGGCCTTTTACAAATATCTAAATGAGTGGATAAATGAATAAAATGATGAATACATTATAAGTGTACAAGTTAATATTTTGTATATTTTGTTTTATACTACATTTTCACATATTATTTCTTTTCCTTTTATATTTTTTCTTTATGTTTTTTATTTATTTATTTATTTATTTATTTTGAGACTGAATCTGACTCTGTCACCCAGGCTGGAGTGCAGTGGCATGGTCTTGGCTCACTGCAACCTCTGCCCCCCGACTTCAAGCAATTCTCCTGCCTCAGCCTCCTGAGTAGCTGGGATTATAGGTGCCTGCCACTGCACCTGGCTAATTTTTGTATTTTTAGTAGATACGGAGTTTCACCATCTTGGCCAGGCTGGTCTTGAACTGCTGACCTTGTGATCCACCCGCCTTGGCCTCCTGAAGTGCTGGGATTACAGACATGAACCACTGAGCCAGGCGTGTATTTTTTCTTTTTTATATGATTGCAAGTATACCATGTATACACTATTGATTAATTCCTTTTTATTTATCATTTCTAAATTATCATGTGTCTGTAAACTATAAAATATCAATTAAAATTGCTGTATAGTATTCCACTGAGTGATTGATTAATTTATCTTGCCAGTATTACCTCTTTAGATATCGAGGCTGCTTTCCATTATTTTTATTATAACTAGCACAACCAGCAATATCTTTATTCAGAACCACAAGCATATTTGATACATGGCATAATAACATTATGAACTTATTCCTATCCTCAAATACTTATCTTTACACCCCACCGGCAAAAACACATTTGCTAAGTTTTTCAAAAAAATTTTTTTTGTGTGAAAAATGTTTGTGGGCTTAGATTTTGCTACAAAGAGCATTTAATTTTATTTCTTCTTGTTGTTTTGAGAAAAATGTTCAACGATTTATGCATTATTAACATACTGCACATTGTATTGGATTAAAACGTTCAGAGCCCATTTACATGCTCTGTATGCTGCTCTAAGGTTGAAATTTAGACAAAGCTTTTCCCATATTCCTGGCTGACTTCCAGGGAGAAAATTGCTTGACTAGGTGAGAAGCAAGGTACAAGGCAGGTATTATTCCAGTTGATACAGTTTATACATGTATCAGTGTGCTAATTTGCCAAGGAAGGAATAAATTTTGGACATTCTTCCCACCAACAAAATTTTTTAGAAACTTATTCTTACTCACAGATTTTTATGCTGTATATAATAAAACACTCTCCATTGCAGAGACTTCCTCACTTTATGAACTGATTATGCCACACAGAGGTTTCCCAGGCAGCATCTGTTGCTACGACTATTTGCTCTTTATCCAGACATTGGCTTAACATTTGAACCCACAGGCTGAGTTTAAATACGTTGGATTAGTTATAGGCCACATGCTTTTGTATTTTATTATGTTATTAGATAAAATTACAGATACATGAATTGCTAACCAATTTTGCTTTTGTAATACAATGGACTGGTATGGAAACGCAAGTAAAAAATAGTGGAAAAATTATGTTATAAATCTAAAAAAAGAGGCTGATAAATCTCATGAAGAAATGCAAACTGAGAAAACCTAATTGTGATACAACCCATGGCTTCTTGTAACACATTACATGGTTTTTTGAAGACTTACTTTACTTATCTGTCTCTCCCACTTAAGATAATCTCCTTGAGGACAATAGTTTTGTATATTACATTTCTATATAAGCATAACTTAGCCCAAGTGTCATAAAAGATATTTAATAAATCTAGGCCTATCAAATAAGTATAATATAAACCAACACCAATGGTGTGACACAATTAGTTTTGAAAGAGAACAGATGACATTGTAGGTATAAACATCAGTTTGGTGGATAACTCAGATGGGGCCATTATACGATCACGCAGAGTAATGAAGTTATGCAGGTAAATCTCCTTAAAAGCAGCAAACATCCTTTACCTTTTTATTTTAAAAAATTAAACAGAAAATTAAATGCAGCAACATATATTAATTACTATATTGAGTACAAAGTTAAACAGCCACTAAATCATGAAGTGCAAAAAGTTTTTCCTATAATTGTAAACCCATCCACGTTAAGCAAATGTTGGATTTTAATTTGTAATCAAGCTCCAGAATACATTCTTTAATTAAATAAAAACCCTCCTTTAATGCAAAGTTAAATTTTCAAATTTAAGCCACCAAAATTAAGAAAAAAATCAAAGCTAAGCTTCTTGTGAGAGCATGGAGTACATAATAAACAATGAGCAAATAACATCTTATATTAGATGCTATAATGTAAGCAAATATTGTTGTAAGCAGCTTAGTGTCTGTCTACATTTAACAACTTTGTTGCTTTCATTTTCAAGATTAAGTCCTTTCCATGACTAATGCTTTTTGATAGATATTTTCTTTTTATTTTTTCTTTTTTTGTGGAGGTGGTGGGTGGGGTGGAATTTAAGGCTAGTTGTACTTCATTGGGGGTAAAGTTTGAAAATCTTATTTTCAAACTAAACCTCTCTAAAGAGTGCCTGCCTCCATTTTGTACCTTTATAGCAGTACAGGAAAGCCATTCACCTGCCCCCAGCTTTCAAAGAAAGCATTTGCATATCCTACTTCTGTTCTTGCTTGTGTCCTAGTTCCTTTTTTTTTTTTTTTTTTGAGATAAGTCTTGCTCTTGTCCCCCAGGCTTGAGTGCAATGGCTGGGATCTTGGCTCACTGCAACTTCCACCTCCAGATTCAAATGATTCTCCTGTCTCTGACTCCCAAGTAGCTGGGATTAAGGCGCCCCCATGCCCAGCTAATTTTTGTATTTTTAGTAGATACGGGGTTTCACCATGTTGGCCAGGCTGGTCTGGAACTCCTGACCTCGGGTGATCTGCCCACCTCGGCCTCCCAAAGTGATGGAATTACAGGCATGAGCCTCTGAGCCAGGACCCTAGTTCCTCTTATTTTGAGGCCACTTTTCTTTCTCATCTTCTCTTTCATTTCTCTGTCTCAGATTAACTTGCGCTTTAAACTTTGGTCTTCTAGCCCAGTCAATCCTCAACTGCCACAGGGTCACTTTGGGCATGAATCTGATTCCCAGTATTTTTCTTGGACTTTATTGATGCTTCAACAGACGAAGAGCAGAAATGAACTTGCAAAACTGTACAAATTTCAATAGAAAGCATTGTTTTTGTTGTTGTTGATCTTATCTAGTTTTATAGTAAGTCCCGAAGTCCCAGAAGTTTAGCATTTAAATCTTTGAATCATTACCTTTAAAAAAAAAATGATCATTAACAGATATCAAAGCATCTGAAATCAAAACTAGGCTTGCAAAACTGATACCAAGCACCATTAGAGATCAGTACTACCACTTGTTTGCCTTTAAAAAAATGTGGGGTCACTCAGTAATGAATTTTGCTCCCCTTTAGTAGGATGCTAAATGAATACTGCCAGTAATTGTATAAAATTAAGACTTTATACTGGCTCCATTCAATCCCAGGAATGGATAATGAAATACATAAAGGTCTTGCAATTACTCCAGGAGAGGATGCTTTTAGAATATGGTCTTCCTCTAATAAAACTCATCCCTAACTCAAGCTCATTTACATTGTTGTTTGTGAATATCCCTCATTAGAATCGCCCTTACTCAAAGTATCTTTCCTGTTTGTTCAGTGTTCAGTGTTCCTGGGGGGAAAAAATCTCATACCTTAGCAGTGTTAAGTTTAGTTGCCAAAAACCATGTCTCAAATACAAAATTTTTATAAAGGCTGCTGTTACGAAAAGCATGAGGGGCTTTGCAAGGGATGGGAACACCGGGACTATATCCTGCTTGACCACTTGTTAGCTGCAGAACTGTGGGCAAGTCAATTTACCTCTTATAGTCTCAGATTCCTTGTCTCTAAACTGGACATAAAAATGATTTCTCAAATATTTAGGACTGCATGTGCAATTTAAATGAATGCATATAGTGTAGTTGGCAGGCATAAGAGCTGACAGATACCAGAATCTTCAAATGGTAAATAGTAGCTCTTATTGGCTTTCTGAGTACTTATAACAGTGGCTCTGCAGCTGAGCTGCTTTGAAAAAAAAAGCAATATTTATTCATGTTTTACATTTAAACATTGAGTGAATGAGTAGATTTTTAAAATTTTTAATTTTTTACCCCTGATTGTTTTATCTTTCTAAAACATTAAGTACTTGGCACATTTTTTTCAAATGAGTATTTGAATATGAGGAAAATACACAGAACAACAAAGCAATCATAACCAAACAATTTCTCCTCCTAAACGCCCATGTTAATAAGTTTAGTTTTTATTCTATTAGCTTAATTAGTTTTTTTTCTTAGAATGGTAAGATAGCAGAGTGATGAGAAGTATAAAATCTTGAACCACATTGCACTGGTGGTCTACTAAGTTGTAAGACTTTAGGCAAATCACCTTAGCTCTTTTGTCGCAGGTTCTTCACAGGTTAAATTGATACTATGGTAGTATCTCTTCAGAGCGATTTTGATATAAATTAATCAATATTTTTAAAGATATTACAACAAAACTTAATTATAAAATAAATAGCTAACCAAAGCAAATGGATAGGATGGATTTAATATGCTAGAACTATATTAGTATTTTATGTGCTGCATTGCCTAGAAATTAAGATTTTCCTTGAAATTAAGATTTTCAAGCAGAAAAGATTGGGGAAGAAAAGATGAGAAACTAATCAGAAACTAAAGCCTTCAGCAGTATCTCTCCTAGGTTATTTTAACAGGCATGGGACGTACTAAAAAGAAACTGTATATCCTGGATGTAGATATACAAACTGTATTCAGTTGGCTCAAATGCAGACCTGGAGATCTGAAGTCACATTAATCTCTGCCTGGAGGGCTTTAATTTATTGCTATATTTCCCAGTTGATGTTTCTGTCAAGAACAGCTCTTTTTGGGCCAAACCTGGGTGTCTGCCAGGGCTGGAGGCTTTTACACCCCACATAGATGTAGAGGGCAAAGTTTGGAGATATAATAACATCTAGAGAAGGGTTTCTCAACCATAGCTCTAATGACATTTAGGGCCAGATAATTTTACATTATGGGCATTTGTCCTGTGCATTGTGAGATGTTTAGCAGCATCTCTGGCCTCTACCTACTGGATGCTAGTAACACCTCTCTCCCCTAGTTTAGGACAGCATACAAATTTTTCTAAACATTATCAAATGTCACCTGGGAGACAAAATTTCACCCAGTGGAGAACTGCTGCTCTAGAGATAAGATAACTATAAGAAGCTATAAATTATTGGCTATAAATAATCTCATTGTCTCTATATGAAAACCTTAAGTAGAGTATCACCAAAAGAACACCACAAAGAATTAAAACATTAACACAACCTAAACAAATAATGTAGAAGCTGAGAATGAAGGATGGTTTGATATCAAGAAATCTGTTTATCAAGACATAATGTGGTTGGTAGGTGCCAAGAATTAAAGAACTTAATCATATCTCAATTTCTTCCAGAAAGGTATTTTTTAAAGCTCAAAAATTATTTTAAATAAAAGATACATACAAGAATAATAAATAGTGGGGTATTTTTTAAACATGTAAAAATAATCTTTTAAAATGTGTTTACCAATTCAACAAATATGTTAATATCTGTACTATTTTATTTACTATATGTGTGGTCAAAATATAGCGAGTTTTAGAAAACATAGAAGTCCCTACTTTTAGGGAGCTTACATTCTAGATGTGCTTGTAGAGTAGAGAAAATAAATACACAAAATGATTAAAAACATGAGGGGAAAGAAAGCTCTTAGATAGAGTGGTCAAGGAATGAGCCTTAACAAAGTGGCATTTTAGCTAAAACCTGAGGAATAAAGAACATCCAGCCGCAAGGAGAGCCTGGAGATAAGCATTAGGGGAATTGATGAAAGCTAAGATATTAAAGCTGAAAAGAGCTTAGAACCACAACAAAGGAAACAGAGTAGTTGAGTGTGTGAGCGAAGGAAAGGCAAAGCACAATAAGACCAGAGGGGCAAACAGACACCAAGTATTGATGAGAGATTGGATTTTATTCTAAGTGCAGTGGAAAGCAGTGTTAAGGTTTAAGTGGGAAGATGGCAGAATACGATTTCCATTTTTAAAAGAGTCCCCTGCTGTGTGACAAATGGAATTGAGCAGAGGCAACAGTAGGAGCAGAGAAATCAGTATTTAGAAATCAGTGCTATAGTAGCTTATGCTTAACATGGTTGTGCCTTGGTGTGGAGAGTGGAGATGGAGTTGGGGGAAAGTGGATAGATTTGAGATATTTTGAAGACAGAACTGATAGAGCTTGCAAATTGTGTGGAAGGAAAGCATCAAGACTCTATTACATTATTGGCTTAAGCAACTGGAGAAATAATGATATTGTTTGGTGATATGCAAGACAGAGAGTGATTTTTAGGAGAAGCAGGGGCCACAGATCAAAGTTTCAGTAACAGCAGGGAGACAGTTGCATACATGAACATGAATATGCAAGCTCAGGGGAGAAGTCATAACATGAGGTAAGGCATTTGGGGGTCACTAAAAAATTAGTATTTTTTTTTTGTTTTTGAGACAGAGTCTTGCTCTGTCTCCCAGGCTGAAGTGCAATGGCATCATCTCAGCTCATCCCTAGTAGCTAGGATTACAGGTGCATGCCACCATGGCCAGCTAATTTTATTTGTATTTTTCGTAGAGATGGGGTTTTGCCATGTTAACCAGGTTGTTCTCAAACTCCTGACCTCAGGTGATCCACCCACCTCAGCCTCCCAAAGTGTTGGGATTACAGGCATGAGCCAGTGTGCCCAGCCAAAAATAAGTAGTATTTAAAACCATGGGAAACAATTTGAACAGCCAAATAGATATGACAGAGAAAGGGGAGGAGGAGGATCCCAAACTTGGCCCCGGTGTTCTAAACACAAGAGATTGAGTAGGGAAGATGGAGTAAACGAAAGTAAAAGTTGCAACAACAGGGTTAATAAAACCAAAATGAAAATTGTTTCAAAAAGGCAAAGCATGCTGAATATGCTGATGTGTTAAGTAAGTCTAAGACTCAGGATTGTTCCTTAGTCTTGATAACATCCAGGTCATTGGTGACTGTGACATGAGTTTGGCAGAATAGTGGGAGAGGGAGCCAGAATGAAATGGGTTAAAGAGGCAGAAAAGGGCAGAAAAAAGGCAAAACTTAAGGCAAGATATGTTCTCAAATGAGGTTTTGCTTTGTTTTCAACAGGAATGATACTAGACCATGTTGTTTTGTCGGTGGTGGTAATTTATGGAGAGAGAGGAGGGCAAGGAGAATAAAACAGTAAAAGAGAAAATGAATAAATAAGTTTTCTGCAGAGGCAAATTACTTGCTCAAAGAAAATACACTGGGATCCAGTATACTAATGGATTTATTGGTAGAGAGGAGCAGGGTTCTGTCATTTTAATGAGAAAATATGGATAAAGATGTAGGTGCATTTGTAGATGTGATGAAGGTAAAACAAGGGAACACCAGTCAGATGGTCTCTATTTTTTCAAAGTAACAGGAAGGAAGGTCGTCAGCTAAGAACAAGTGGGTAAGGGGTCTGTGAGAGGTTTCAGGAAAGAAAAGAGGTTATGAGTGAAAATCCAAAATTGTACTGAGTTGTGAAACTGTAGGATTTTTACATTACATGGTAAAGAAGAATAGCCACAATTTAAGAGACATTGGAAAGAAGGAAATTGATAAAGCTCTATTTGCAGATTGAAGTGTTTGTACACTGAGATCCAAGAAATTTCCTATTAATGGCAATTCATTAAAGTGGCTGGTTAGAGAATACAAACGTAAGTCTCAGCAGCATTTATAGATATCGGCAATAATTTCTTAAAAAACAAAATGGACAATTACCACTTTCTCATATTATATCTGTATTTAATATCATGGCTAAGCTATACTTTGAACTATTGATCCATGCATTTTTTGTGTAATTTTCTTCCTTCAGATCTTTCAGTGGTATCTTGAAGGCCCCTTTTCTTCTCCCCTTATGTCTGCTGAGAAAAACACTGGAGAGGTCACAGACCCAAGAGCCAGCAGGAAAGATTCAGATGATTAGAAAGAAAATGAATTGTGAATTGCTCATATATCCTCCCCTGTGAAAAAGTCTTCAACACTCTGGACAACTGTAAGCCCCTCTAAATGGAAGGATGGCAAACTTGTACTCCTTGGAGTCGGAAAAGAGGGGGCAAATATAGAATATTGTTCCATAGCCAAGAAACAACTGGACTTAACTAATTAGAAACGCCACCCCTGCTGCATATGTTTACTTGTTTATTGTCACTTTAACAATTCCCTAATGATAGTCAATAAGCTATTTGCAATATTACTGTAAGGCACATTCTTTGTATGTGTCTTTGATTTCATGCATACTGTGCCTTTTTGGTTGATCCTCAGAATAGGGCCACCACTAATTTTTACCACCACCAGCAATGACTGGCAACTTGTTGTCAAATTGGCAGAACTTTTTGGCTATTTTCTTTCATAACCTTCCAATGAAATTATGTGGCATATGTAACTACTATATTTTGTAATTTGTTTGTATTTGTTTCTACATGTGGCCCTGTTGATGCCCAATTATTTTAAGGAAAGGAGAGAGGTGTTTAAAATGCATTAATATGCCAATTTTCTGGTGTTATTGAAATCGTCACCTAAATCTACTCCAAAGTTGTTCAGGACTCTCTCACTTTAGAGACACTTAACCAAGTTAGTCCAGGGTCAGCTGACCAATTCCCATTTTCCTTCCTTTGCTGGTTTTGTTTTGAGTGTCCAGGGGTTGCCTTAGGCTGGGTAGTTGGTCTCTCTAGTTTCAATATCAACTCTAGGTGTGACCCACTAGAGAGCTTTACATTCTGCGTAGAAAGCTTGTTTCTCGCAGTAAATTTGCACTTAAGTGTCTCCATGGTTCTCTAAGGGGAACCCAGGGGAAGCTGCTTTTATCTCCAAGTCATCTTGTCCCAGACATGATACAAGATGTGAGTTGTCTGCACATCTCTGTTGCTCCATTAGCCAGATCCCTTCTGCTTTCTATGTTCTAGTCATTCTTCAAATGGTCTCAGCAACAATTTATCATTTTTTAGTGCTCTTCACCAAAGAAGAGCACTAAAGTCTTTTAAACTTTGACGTCCTTATTTTTAATTTACAATATTTCGACTATTTCTTATTCATAGAAATCTGTTATTGTTTCATATGCCTTGAGTCCTTCTAGGGATAAATAATTTAATTAAAGGTAAAGTTTTCCATCATTTATTTAAGGCTACCTTGAACATTACTTCTGGTTGTTGTGTGTTTTTTCTTTGGTGTTGCTCTTCCTTACACATTGAGTGAGTTTTGGATATCCATTTATTCCTGTGGTTGAAATACATGAAAATTCCTGTTCACCTGCTGAGACTACGTGATCTAGGTATTGAGAAGGCATCAATACATTAGAGCAGGCATGAGAGAAAATCACTTCGCAGAGCATCCCCTAGTTTCCTGGCTTGAGGGTTCACTGGGGAATGGCTGTCTTTGCAACTTTAAACAGAAGCCTAAAGCCTGCAAAGAAGCCTTTGCCTTCTGCCTCCCTCGGCTATATGTGTGTTGCTTTAGTGATTCTGATTCTTTCTGCATCCCAGCAGTCATGCTGGGAGTCCTCCCCAGGCAGATACATTACCGTTTTCCAGACCATTTTAATACAATCACAGAAGGGAGAAAGAGGAAGCATAGGAAATGTACTAGGGCAAGGGAGGCTGAGCCGCTTTTCTTAATCATTCATTATACTGTGTACATCATGCTACAATGTTTTTATTCATCTCATTTAATCCTCTCAGCAGCTTTTCAAGATAGTTATTATTCAGCATTTTATGGGTAAAGAAAATGAGAGATACAGGTCAAATAAATTGATAGGTTCAAAAGGAGACAAAAAGTTCGCATTTAATTTTAATTTTTATCTTTAGACCAGTCTTTTGCCTTAGGAAGTAGTAATATGGTTTACTTTAACCACACTTAGGTAGACTTCCTCAAACCCAATAACCATCCTTTTATTACTCTCTAGGTTTAGAAAAACCTTTGCTAAATTTTCTCCAGTTTCCAGCTTGGGAAGCTGTGGCTCAGTCAGATATATCATAACAGGTCATATTCCAATAGCAAGGGAAAGTCATTCATTTTGTAAATTAGAAGGTATTTTTCAACAAAGATCATATATTTTAGTTAGGTGTCTTCATCCCCAGCAGCAGCAGAATGTGCATGATATGATTGAGACATTGGCCATATCAGTAGCTGTCACAATTTATATTGATTGTACTAGCTAGGCTGTGTCCTCTTTTCCCCTCACCACCCCTAATATATCCCTTTGGACTCATTCTCTGGAAATAATAATGAAAACCAATCATTAATTATGAGTACAACCTCAAAAATTTTAGAAGTTACCTGGGAAGAGAAGAGGAGTTTATAAGAAGGCAGATATAAACATCTAAGATAATAGGTTGGAGAGATGGAATGATCAGGTTAAAAGGGCCTGAATTTGAGAATCACTTGGTTTTTGAAGTCTGGGACCCAGCTGGATGAAAGGCATGTTGTCTTCAACAGTACTTACTGATAAATATCTATGGGATATTGTTATGGGGATAAAAAGATTTTAGAGGGGCAGCATAAGATAAAAGACTGTCTCCAGTTTTGTTTTTGCCATTAACTAACTCTTCTTCTCCAGCCACCTACCCTCTTTTTGTGTAAAACGAAGCAGTTGCCCTAATTTTAAGTGTCCTTCTAACTTTAAGAGACTATGAAACTGACATGTATCCCACAAGCTAGAGTGCAAGGTTATCTACAGGAAAAGAGGAGGAGAGCAACCAGACAGCACATTTAAGTGCCAGGAGGGCAAGAGAATAAATGTCTCACAAACCAAAGGAAGGAATAAAGCTCATGCCCAGCCTCTTCTAAGGTTTACGTGAGCAAAGGATTTTAGAAGTCCTTTGCAAACTGGGAAGTTCTATATAAACGTGAGAGCTGATTTTCTTTTTTCGTAGTCATTTACAGATCTCCTTATCTGTGCCAGCCACTTTTTTAGGCACCAAAAATGCTAAAGACTCTTGCTTAGCAATGTAGAAAGCAGTCTTTATTGTGGGCAGGGAACATTTTTGCAGATAATATGACTTCACAGAGCATTTCCAATTAAAAGTTGGGTACAAAACAGAGATTTTTGGGTGATTGCCTTGGGGTAAGGCTTGAAAGGATAAGTCATAGGGAACTCCTGTCATAAAGACCATGAGCTGTCTGCTGTAACCCAGCAGCCTGAGGGCTGAAGAGAGTGGTTCTAATAGGTGGATGAAATTATAGTCACTGCCTTCCAAAATATCTTATTCTATTTCCATAATAAGCTAGACTATAAATGAGTTATGTTGAAAGATAATAAATAAAAATGTGAAGGCTTACTTCTGAGTGTATGAAAAACTTGGCTCTCCTTTACAAATCACTGGGATTCCAAAGCACCAGACAAATCCCATCACCAATGACTTCTACTGATGCACTGGAGAGGGATGAGTCATAAAATGCAGAGTAGAGGGAGGACAGACAACAAGCAAATAGTCTTATCTATAAATGCACGCAGTCCTTTGTTCTAATGCTGAAGGAGTAGAACATAGTTCAGTGACAGAGTTGAATAAGAAAGTCCTAATTTAGATTGGGTGGCCAATATGAAGAGGCAAGTTTTAAACTGAGTCAGAAAGAGTGAGTAGGAGTAGCCAACCGCAGACTTGAGAGCCAAGAGTAGCAGCATGGAGGAAAAAAGCCAGGGCATAAAAGAACCGGGCACATTTGAGCAGGCTTCACCTTCAGAAATCCTATTCATCTAACCTGGGAAATGCCAGAGACCACTAGGAAAGCCTCCATAAAGTTACTTTTTTTTTTTCAGCTGCTTCCTAGTCAACAAATCTTTTGTATATCAATGAACTCGTCATTAAAATAAAAACAAGAACAACAAAAACAAAAGGCTCCCAAATTTAGGAAGGCGACATAAGAATAGTAGCCCACTGTTCCATTATTGCTCAAAGTACTTTAACTGTTACCTTATTTATAGAAACTCTCCCATATTTATGCTCAAAGCTATATTTGCTTGACTAGTAGAAAATTTCAAAAAAGACCAAGAATTAGGAAGTTTGTACCATTCTGTCTAAGACAAGGTCCCTTTGCTACATAAAGTCCCCTGGATGGACAGAAAGTTGAACCTTTAGCATTAGTGCCTACCACCTATTCTGTCTCCCTTTCTGGTTGTTCTCTTCCGTTTTAGTAGTTTCCTAGAGTTGTTGTGTTATGTTTATACATAACAGATATATGTAATCTGTGTATTATGTTTACATAATTACTTGTTACATAATTATGTAACACATTCTAATAAAATTAGAGGCTTACAACAACAGAAATTTATTTTTTCATAGTTCTGGACATCAGAAATCCAAAATCAGTTTCAATGTGTCATATCAAGGTATTAGTAGGACTGTACTTCTTCAGAGGTGCTAGGGGAGAAGCTGTTTCCTAGCCTCTTTCAGCTTCTAGTGGCTGCCAGTGGATTTGTCAGTGGCTGCTTCACTGCAATCTCTGCCTGTGTGGTCACACTGCATTTTCCTCTCACATTGAAGACTGCATTTAAAGTCATCCTGGATAATCCAGTATAATCGCCGTATCTCAAGGTGCTTAACCTAATGGCATCTGCAAAGACCCATTCTTTAAAAATCATTCTATTATAAAGACACATGCATGCATATGTTCATTGCAAGACTATTTACAATAGCAAAGATATGGAATCAACCTAAATACTCATCAGTGATAGACTGGATGAAGAAAATATGATACATATACTCATGGAATACTATGCAGCCATAACAAAGAATGAGATCATGTCCTCTGCAGGGATATGGATGGAGCTGGAGGCCATTATCCTTAGCAAACTAACACAGGAACAAAAAAAAAAAAAACAAAGACTGCATGTTTTCACTTAAAAGTGGAAGCTAAGTGATGAGAATACATGGACACATAGAGGGCAACAAAACACACTGAGGCCTATCAGAGGGTGGAGGATGGAAGGAGGAAGAGGATCAGGAAGAATAAGTAATGGGTACTAGGCATAATACGTGGGTGATGAAATTAGTTGTACAACAATCTCATATGACACAAGTTTACCTGTGTAACAAATCTGCACGTGTACCCCTCAGGTTAAAAGTTAGAAAATATAAAAAATAAAAGTGAAAATTTTAAAAATAGTTAATGCATAACAGATGCATATAGTTTTGGGGTACATGTGATAATTTAAAACATTCATATCATCTGTAAAGATCAAATCAATGTACTTGAGATATCCATTACCTTAAATGTTTGTCTTTATGCTAGAAACATTGAAATTATTCTCTTCTACCTATTTTGAAATGTATAATACATTACCATAAACTATTGTCATCCAACTGATCTATCTAACACTAGGTTTCATTTCTCCTATCAACCCATATATGCATACCAATTAATCAAAGACCTTTTCATGTACCTTTTTAAAAATTTGGTTTTGACATTTAATAACTGTATATATGTATAAAGTATAGTGTGATGTTTTAATACATGAATACATTGTGTAAAAACCAGAGTATTTGAGATATCTATTACCTCATACATTAATCATTTCTTTATTGGGAAAACATTCAAAATCTTCTCTTCTAGCTATTTTGAAATACACAATACAGTATAATCACAAACTACAGTCATACTACTCTGCAGTGAAATACCAGAATTTATTCCTCCTATCTCACTGGAACCTTGTTCTCCTTGGCCAATCTTGCCTTATTCCTTCTTTCCCCCCATCCTCCCCAGTCTCTGACAACCACTATTCTACTCTCAACTTCAATGAGAGCAGCTTCTTCTGATTTCACATATAAGCAAGATCATGTGATATTTGTCTATGTTCCTGGCACATTTCACTTAAAATAATATCCTCCAGTTCATCCATGTTGCCACAAATACAGAATTTTTTTATGGCTTAATAGTATTCCATTGTGTATATATACAATATTTTCTTTATCCATTGATCTGTTAGACACTTAGGTTGATTATATATGTTGGCTTTTGTAAATAGTGCTGCAATAAACATGAGAGTGCAGATATCTCTCAGACATACTAATTCCATCTCTTTGGCTATATACCTAGAAGTGAGGTTGTTGAATCATCATGGTAGTTCTACATTTAACTTTTTGAAGAACCTCAAAAAAATACCCTTTTTACATATAAATTAGCATTTCCAGTTTCTAGCCATTAGGTTCTGATATCTTTGGGTGATATTTTTCTGTCTATGACACCCTCCCTCCCACATTACTCTATTGCTCTACTGCCTAGAGGTGTCAGTTCATGGTCATACATTGCAAAATTCTCCAGGGCCTTGACTTTTTTTAGGCTACTACATATCTCTTCTAAGCCTCCAGGGCTCTCCTCCCTCCCCATAGTATGAAAATAATTTTGTTTCACACTTTCTCTTTTTTTACAGGGTGTTCTCACAGAAGAGCTTCTAGGGCTCCTAATTAGAGAGCTTTTTCCTTTATACCAGAGACCTGCCCATGTGAGATGAGTCACAGAGACAAGAAGGAATCCAAGCTGGATCTAGAATTACTAATCCCCCTATCATCCACGTTCCATTCCTAAGTCAGGGATCATTCTGCTATAATGTATTGTTTCACATAATGATTTTCTTATAGCTGTGTGTTTGTCTTTCCCAGTGCCAGGCTTTGTTCAGTCCCTCGATTCACTAGAAATATGTAAGAGTAGAGAAATCCTATTTGCCAGTAGAGTCACTTACCTTCTTATACTGGAGAGAGATTATTCCCCTTATCCCCTGCCCCACCACACACACATACGATGGAGTGCTGTTACAAGAAAAATAAAGCGGGTCATAAGTGAAAAAACATCACATGGGAATTCCATACTAAAGACCATTTGGTGAAAGCACTATGCTAGGTATGTTATGTTTGGCTACATCCTCTCACTTATTTTTTCTGGGGTTAATTAGATTGTTTTGGTTGCAAAAAATTAAGAGTTACTCGAGTAACCCAAGCAATGAATATTTATTGAATGGTAACAAATACTTTACAGCTAAATTACTGCAGGCATCTTGTAGAAATAATTAAGACCTTAGCTGTGCTTCCAGGCCACATCAAAATGAAGATGGTTACACAGCTATAAGCCTACAAAATCGTAAGAAAATCACAAGAAAAGATGCATAATCAGAATTATAAAAACAATAAACAGGAAAGGATGTATAGTAAAAAGTTAAAGAGAAAAACCTAGCTTAGCAACTGAAAGGTTAGTCTGTATTCTATATATATCTTTTGACCTCACTGGCTCTTCTTTACCTGCATAGAAAGAGTTTGCCAATGCCCACTCTGGTGCTCTGTCATTATCCCAAGTAGGCTATTCATTACGTATCTTGGCACATCTACTTGTGGCCCTTCTACCAATCTCCAAACTATCTTTATATATTTCAAGATATAATTCCTCCAGGAAGAGGATTGATCCACCAAGTGTCCATTGGACTTGTTGGGCAGAGCTTTCTTTACAGCTCACCTCCATGGACCTGCAGACTGACTTTCTTTGGGGTAAGTGTCCATTTGTGGACCAATCAGCTATGGATGGTGAGGCCATGTGGTACTGGCCAGCATCATAGATGATTGTAGATGATTAAATTGAAGACCACAACAAATTGGAGATGGGAACCTCATAGAAGGTGAATTTGAGTGTGGAAGGTATGTAAGTCTTAGCCTATGGAGGACACCTACTTGCTCAGAGACCATGGAAATGAGCCCCACATCATTGGCATTTGAGCTTAGTGCAAAGCTTTCTTTCCCTCTCAGAATGACAGCAGGAGAGCTCGGTTATATAACGGATGTATCTGGAGACTAGTAACCATGCACACACAGTCTGACCCTGCCTGGAATGAGATCCCCAAAGAGACAACTAGGTAATGTGTTAAACCTTTAACATGAGCCAAGGGCTGAGTCAGCACTGAGGTAGCCACTCTCCTTGGCGCTGTTAGATACACATGGCAAGACTTCATTCTCATCATGTTTATGGCTCCAGCATTGCCTAAGGGAGTTATAAAAGCTAGTAGCGGCCTGTGTAATTTTTTCTGGCATGGCTAAGAGAAAAGCCTTGAACTTGGAGACTGATCTCTGGGTATAAAGTGGTAATGGGCGATCATTCACACCTTTCCTTCCCAGCTGCATTAAATAACACTTTGGTATTCAGCCATAATTCACAATCTGCAGCGGCTGTGTCAGAGGGAAGGGGGACGTTCATTCACTGTTTGACTGCAATTTCAAACACAAATGCAGTGAGGAATAGTCTTGCTGAGCCTAGAGAAATTATTATTCTAGATGCGGCTTTTTTAATTTGTGCAAATGTTGGATCCTGTACTTACAGAAAAAAAGGAAAAAAGTGGCTGTGACCAGGCAGATGGTTGCATCTTCGAGTAGTGGGGATAAGGCACAATTTTCCTTTAATGAGGTGATTTTTTTTTCTGCTGAAGTCTTGAACTCTGAAAAAGAAAATTGTGTTTGAACATATAAAAGGAACGCAGATGGAGTGTCCTCAGTGAGGTGTTAAAACACAAAGTCATTCCATTTCTGGGAGACGTAACACATAAATTTGCAATCTCAAATGATGGCAATGTCTCTGGGGGTGGGTGGGACTGCTGTCCTTGTGAAATGCCCATCCTGTCCCTGAACACTTGGGCTCAGGAGCACTAGACATTCAAGTTCATGGCAGAGAAGACATGCCCCTCCTGTACATTTCCAGAGCAGCCCCTTCTAATAAGCCACATAAGGTAAAGGAAGAGAAAGCAGAGGTCTGTGAGATAGAGGAATGGATAAAGAATGTTCTTTCCTTGGCTTCTTGGAGCTAAATTGAGAACAAGTGAAAACCATTAATGTCTGATATGCATGGAGGCAGTATAATACAGTTTAATATTAATTATTATTATTATAGATTTCACAGTCAGGTAGGCTTTGATTTGAATTCCAGTCTCTCATTTCCTAGCGGAAAGACCTCAGACAAGTCACATTAGTTGTCCCAATTTTGGTTCCTTCAACTGTCAGAGAATGATATTAATACGTACAAGGTGCTATGATAATTAAATTGGGTAGTGTCTGTAAAGCACTTAGCATAGTGCCTAAAAAAATGAACGTGACCTAGCTCAGCATGAGCTGACTCCTGCCTTTCTTGCCGGCCTCATCTGAACCAATTTCCTAATTTGTCTCTACCCTTATGACACCCTGGCCTTATTTTTTTGTTTCTCAAATCCTTCCGGCTTTTTCTAGTTTATGAACCATTGACTGTAATGTCTCTACTGCATAGTCTCCCAGTCTCTAACACTTCTGTTGCCAGTGTAATGTTTTTCAACATTTACTTTCACCTCTTAAATGAGGTTCCTCAAATAAATACATCAGTCTTTCTTTACACAGAATACGTGAGATTGTGATTATGTGTGTGTTTTGTTTTTTCTTAGCACCTTGCAGTTTTCTGCCACTGCATTTATTATAGTTTTAGTTATTATATAACTTATCTTTTAAAATGTTAGCATCTTGTGTTGAACTGAAAGCTTTATGAAGGAAAAAAACCTGCGTGGTCTTATTCACCAGTTACCTCCAGCCCCTGTCACAGTAACTAGTACCCAGGAGTTATTAAACCTTGTGGATTAAGTGATAATTCCATTCTCTGAATGTGAATCACAGGAAGAAAATCAGTGATCATTACCCACCTGGAAGGATGAGACGGCATCTGTGTAGCAAATGGGAAATATTTTCTGGGTCCAGACAAGCGATCATGGTCCTACAAAGAACAGAATTGCATCTCTGTTTTCCTTTTCCTTCTTCTATTTCTCAATGTATAGTGTCTTAGTTTGAGCTGCTTTAACAAATAGTCACAGACTGGGTAGTTTAAACAACAGAAATGTAATTTCTCACAGTTGTGGAGGCTGGAAGTCCAAGATAAAGGTGCCAGCAGATCTGGTGTCTGTTGCAGGGTGGCTTCCTGGTTTGCAAATGCCCATCTTCTCATTGTGGCCTCACATGGCAGCGAGCAGAGACAAAGAGCATCTTCTCCTGTCTCTTCTAATAAAGACCTAATCTAATTCATTAGTGTTCCACCTTCATTAATGAACTAACTCCCAAAGTCCCCACCTCCTAATACCAGCACATTGGGGGTTAGGATTTCAATATATGAATTTCGGAGGGACACAAATATTCAGTGCATAACATATACCCAACACAAGAGAGTCAATCAGAATGCACGGGCCCTTTACAGATAGGCCAGTTCTCCTGACAGAACTCGCACATGTTTCTCAGCCCAATTTTGATTGTACTCATTGATTTGGTAAGACATGGTCCAAAGGGTTTTCAGGAAGATTCAACATATCTGATAATGTGGCTATGTTCCCAAGTAGATATTTTAATTTCAGGACCATATTTAACTGTGAAATTTAGCTTCCTCAATGCCAAAAGGTAGTTCATACAACTTGACAAAAATCAGCCACAAAGACTCAAACTCCTGGTGTATACACATTCTACTATTATATGATTCTCTTGGAAGAAAGGTGTGTTTTCTTGTTTCTGGGTCTCCAGGGCCTGAAACAGTACCTAATATACGCTGGCACTTCATACATTTGTTGAATGAGTGAATGAATTGCTCAAACATAAGCTGATAACCCACATTGCAAGTATATATGGGAAACAAATTTATTGAGTGTCTGTTGCAGATATGTTTCATTTAGTAACTTATTTATTTCATACAACAATCTTACTGAAATGTAGCCCCTATTTACAGATAAAAATTCTGACCAAATCTGTCTTTTATTAAGCACAACACAGAGCTGGTCCCAGACTTCACGGAGTGTAAGAAAGATAATTACAGTGCTGCCTGGGGAGGTCTAACGTAGAAATTATATTGAGAAACTCTCTGTAAAAGAATATAGGAGTCCGTGAAAGAACACTTAAAATCTCCATGGACAAGATACAATTTTTGAAAGAAGTAATTTTATTCTGAACCCAAAATAATGAGAAGCAAATACTCAGATGACAAGCAGTAGATGAGATTTCCAGAAACAGAAAACAGCTAATGTGAATGCTTGTCTTAGAGGTTTGATTGGCAAACCTGAGAAAGACACAGAATGTTGGTGGGGATGGAAGGTAGAGCTTACGTGAGGAGCTGTGAGAGATTAGGCTGGCAGGGACTGGACTCACAGCAGTCCCATAATCCTAAGGTACAGAAAAACTATTACAAGCTTTTGAGCCAGGAAAGTACAAATATATATATATATATATATATATATATATATATATATATATATATATATTTTTAATTTTCCAAAATTATATTCTGTTATAGCATTGAAAATGGATTGAGGAAGGGTACAACTGCAAGAAGTAAGTGAGGGCCAGAAACAAAGGATTCCTCAGTAAGAAATAAGGGTGGTCCACAATAAAGAAGGTAAATTATCTGGGATGGGGGATACGGATATATTTTGGAATATTCAGAAAAGAATCAACACCTTGTGTAGTGGGTATTATGTCTAATTTATAGATACAAGATTCTAAGGTAAATGGAGGAAAATTGATGTGTCTGATGTGTCTGAGAACAGAGGGGGATCTCAAGACCAGGTAGCCCCCAGAGCTTAACTCTTCTCACCATGTGAAACCGTCTCCCAGTAGCCTAATGACCCAGACCTGTGAACTCTGTCATCTCCAACAGAGACCACCATTATCCACAACACAGCTTGAGCCTTCTCTGTATGGCAATCACACCACCTTCTGTTTCTTCCCCTTAAATATTGGCTGTTGTGCAAAGCACTTCAAATTATTAAATGCAAATTATCTTAGAAAATCGATTTCAGGATGCTTAGCCAGAGACTTTATTAAGCAGTTATTGATTGAAAGCAGAAAAGTTAACATGCAAATCAAATCTAGATTACCGGAGTCTCTCTCACACACATCTTCTAATACAGAGAGGATGCTGCTACTTAAAAAACAAACAAAAATGTTCCTTGTTGGCACCTCAGAAGCAAGCACCTCTTTGCTTATTTGTTTCTCTCCTTGACAAAAATAAACAAATCTTTAAAAACATAATGAGTCAGGACATTCTCTCTGTGGTAAATAAGTGGCTCTAAGGGACTCCAGAAGGCCCCTGTTGAGGGTCATTACCCCTTTGGGGCCCTCTGGGAAGCATTCAGTAAATAATTGCTTCCCCACCTTACATGGACACCCCAGTGTTCTAAGCATGGGCCAGGGCCAGAGAGTAACTTCTAAACTGGGAGGATTTGGCTGATTAACTTTCCATTAAACGTTTCCCAACTCCATGCTGAAACTTCAGGGATCAAGCTGAGAGCGGAGAAAAAAGTAACAATCTGAATGCTTGGCTGGTAATTAACATCACCAGGTGACAAATCAATACTACCTGGCTGTTCCCATAAACAATGATAACAGGGAGGACTAGACTTCCAGCCTTTAGCCTCCTGGTTATTTTTCTGTGGCTCCTATTGCTTTAAAGACAAAAGGTGAAACAGGGCCGGGTGGTATTTCTTCAGCTGTAGGTGGTATTGAGGTCTAAAAATGCAAACAGGTACTTCAAAGAAAAGAGTTTTGGCTGAAAAGTAAATACGATATAACCTGGAATGTTGAACAAAAATGTGAATTTAGGTGAGTGGTTTTTCAATGTTAACATATATAAGAATAACTAGATGATTTATTTATAAAGTAGATTTCAGAAATTAAGTTTCAGGAGTATTCATAAGTTTTCCAGGAGATTTTGGTGTGGGTAGGTCACAAATTACATGTGAAGAATCATGTTAAATACACAACTGTTTCATTTATTAGGTAGTTTTATCCAAAAAACTTAACAAGTATTTGTTTCTTAACAACTTATAGCTCTCTGAAAAAGTAATGCATATAATTTCCAAGAAAAAGTGATGTTCTTCTTTCTTAAATGACCACAAGTGGTGATTGCTAATGGGAGGTATGCACGTGTGGGGCACTGCCCACCTTTTCAAAGCTTGCAATGAGGTCAGACACTGCCCTCCTCATTTCCTGTTTCACATTGAAACATGGGGTTTCATTTTTATCCCAGCAACTGCTGAAAACTCAGCTTCCCAAAGATATGACAGCATTGAAGCGAATGTAAAGCAAACTAGCAATTCACACTGTGCCTGTCAGAAATGAGTATCACTTGGTTTTCCTAACAAGTTAAAATGTCCCAGTGTGTCCCTGGAATTTGGTGTAGCATCTCAATGTGCCTCAGCACACACCTTGGGAATCATGGGTGTAAGCAGCAGTAAAACCAGGCAGATTAGATGGGCTCTGACCCCCAGGGCCTATGTTAATTGGCAGATAATGGGCAGTTGAATGGAAGTTTGAGAATGAGGGATTGCCCATCCTTTTGGAAATAGAAGATGCTTTTTAATTTCAGGGCAAATGGTCTCTAGCATTCTAACTTGAGGCTTCTCAGTAAGCCTAACTGGAAGAATTTGTTACTAAATGGTATGGTTTTGTTAAGCCTAAAGAACTTTTAATTTAGAAATGCTATTTCTTTTCTGCATACCTACTGCGATGACTCGGGAAAATAGTAAAATACATACATTAGCTTATTTAATCTGCCCAACACATCTATGAAATATCGTTAGCCCTATTTTCTAGTTGAGGAAGCTAGAAATCAAATTGGCTAAGATACTTACCCAATATCCTACAGAGAGTAAATACTGCAGTGAGTCCCAGAACCCGTGTCTGACTCAAAAGCCCAAACTCTTTCCTCTATAAGCAAGGGCTTCAATTTTGAGAGAAAGCTACTTCTCAGGTGCCCACTATGTAGATCTGGAAGGTTCAGTTTGAGATTCCAATAAATTCCAGGTATAGATAACTCCCCTCTGACACCCAGATTTTTTTTTTAGTTAAGTTATTTGAGTAAATCATGTTATCACCTTATCTTATTGGGATTTAGTTCTTTTATCTACTTATGTTTACATAAAATAATGTTATCTGTGTTATTCTGTCAACCCAGGTCACTTAAAATCATCAGATTTTCATTGAGCCTTAAAAATGTCTCAAGCACTAAACTATGGGTGACAAATATATGGATTAGAAATTCTCTACACACTGGATGCTAAAAACTGTGTGTGTGTGTGTGTGTGTGTGTGTGTGTGTGTGTATGAGAGAGATATATATATATATAATTGGAGACACAAAAGGAGATGCAGTTTCATTGTGCCAGGATCAATAAAAGGGGATTTTTTTTGTCCTATTTTGTAACTTATACTAAAACAGACACCACTCCTCATATCTTCTGTGCTTCTACTAATTTACTACTCACACAAACAGTTTTTAGCACCTAGTGTGTAGAGAATTTCTAATCCATATATTTGTCACCCATAGTTTAGAGCTTGAGATATTTTTAAGGCTCAATTAAAATCTGATGATTTTAAGTGAACTGGTTTAACATTAGAATAACACAGATAGCATTATTTTAGGTAAACATAAGTAGATAAAGGAACTAAGTCTCAAAGAGATAAGGTGATAACATGATTTACTCAAGTGACATAACTAAAAAGCTGAACAATTTTTTGAGAACCATTTATAGCCATTAACTGTTCTTTTTCCCCTATTTTTAAAAATTTGTTTTCAGAGCGTTAACTATGTGTAAGTGGTTGAAGGAAACATAGAATCCATAAAAACTCTTACCTAAACATAATGCTCTAACCTAACTAAAGGTTAAAGAATCTAAGGAAACTTTGTGTTTAGTACCACTAAAAACACACAAAAGTACTGATATTCATAGATTTTTAGGGCCTACAATTGTCCTTAATGTTATTCAATATTAAATACTCGTATTAGCTACTGTTATTATTAAAGAGTATTTAAATCTCTAACTCAAAATATATAGATGTTATTTGTATAGATAATGACATAGATATGCACACAGATATACATATCGAGTTAAAAACTGTCAGTGTTTTCTCTTCACATTCTGGGATTTCCCTAATATTTTAGTCATATTGATATGTCAATTTCCAAGGCAGGAAAAAGCAAGGAAGCAATTATTTTAATTATTTTCTGTTAGCTTTCTGATCCCAATTACTAAAGAATGGTATTAACCTGAAGTATTTATTTATTCATGTGTGTGTGTGTATTTATATATATATATATATAAAATATAAGTATATATATTTACATACACCACTGTTCAATTGATATGTATATATTGAACCGTGGTTTACAGAGAGTGGGGACGAAGGGGAAGAAGCATTGATTTTGTTTTGGTAATTTTCATTTCAATTTCCATTTCATTATTAAGCAGAAAAACGTGCACATTAAGCTGAAAACATGAGTGACATAATTCTCTTTAGTACTACAGAGGTTTACATTTTAACATTTACTTGACTGTGTTTATGCTCCATGGATAAATGGGTAAGTGGTTAAGAGAGCACATACAGAAATTAAAAAAAAAATATTATGGTATCTTCAAACCAGAGAAGGAGAAAACATTTAATTACAGAGTGAAATTGATGCTGTTTTGATAGCTGAAAGTACAATCTTCTACCTCTAAATTATATTAATTAGAAGGTGGAGGTTTTCAGCCCCTATTACACGCTCAGCATGGTGCTTGGGTTGGGGGTTCAGTAATAAACAAGAAAGATTCAATTTCTTGGCATTTGCGGCATCACTTAGTTTTATACAATCCTCACAGCAGCCTCTGTAGGTAGATCTTGTCTTCTTCATTTTACAAATGTGCAAACCAAATTCAAGGAGGTGAAGTAATTTGTCTATGATCACATATGTAGGAAGTGTTGGAGTCGTAACATGAACTCAAGCCTTTTTTATTTTGAAGTCTAATTATTTTCGCTATACTTGGATTCCTCTCAGTCCAGACATATTAAAGATAAACAACTAATTACTTATTAATTGCTTCTCAATCTTTTTTCAACTTAGACTGGTTTCATAGATAATTTTACACTCTCTAGAAAACACGATAATCTTAACTTTGAATATAGTCTAATATTACATATGATAATGGTAATCACTCATTTCAGAAACCATAGGATTCCCTCTAACTTTTTACATCTCAGGTTTATCACCATTAGGCTTGCAAAAGTAATTAGGAAGAATCACCATGTTCCATTTATACCCCCATTTCAAACAATTAATGGTGTAGAGCTGTTGTATTAGTACGTTCTCACATTGCTATAAAGAACTGCCTGAGACTGGGTAATTTATAAAGAAGAAGAGGTTTAATTGACTCACAGTTCCACAGGCTGTATAGAAAGCATGGCTGAGGAGGCCTCAGGAAACTTACAATCATTGCGGAAGGCCAAGGGAAAGCAGGCAAGTCTCATTCTCACATGGCGGGAAATGAAGGAAGAGAGAGAGAGAAGGGGAAGGTGCTACACACTTTTAAACAACCAGATCTCATAAGAACTCACTCCTTATCATGAGAACAGCAAAGCGGAAATCTGCCATCATGATCTGATCATCTTGCATCAGGCCCCTCCTCCAACACCGGGAATTAGAATTCAACATGAGATTTGGACAGAGACACAAATACAAACCATATCAACTGTCTTTTCTAAATTCTGTCCCCTGATCGACTACTTCATCCTCATCATGGAAGCTTATTAAAAAATAAAGATTCTGGCCAGGCACGGTGGCTCACGCCTATAATCCCAGCACTTTGGGAGGCCGAGGTGGGTGGACCGCCTGAGTTAAGTAGTTCCAGACCATCCTGTGCAACATGGTGAAACTTCGTCTCTATTAAAAACACAAAAACTAGCCAGATGTGGTGGTGCGTGCCTGCAATTCCAGCTACTCAGAAGGCTGAGGCACAAGAATCATTTAAGCCCAGGAGGCAGAGGTTGCAGTGAGCCGAGATCATGCCACTACACTCCAGCCTGGGTGACAGAGTGAGACCCTGTCTAAAATAAAATAAAATAAAAATAAAATAAAGTAAAATGAGATTTTCTACCCTCTATTGAATTAGCATTTCTAGGAGATAAAAAAAAAAAAAAAGCCTGAGGAGTCCGATTTTAATCCATTTGCCTAGGTCATTTCAGTCTAAAACCACTATGAGAACTACTTCTATATGAAATACTATACTATATATGGAGTAGAAGTATATCTCATGCCCTTTATTACTAAAGCTGATTATTAAAAGGTCAAAACCTCAACTGGAATAGTAGCAAGTTCAGTACTGTTCTTTTAGAGGGGACTGGACTTCTCACCACTGTTGTTGAGAAAACAAACCAAAAAATCAAAAAATAAAGATTTATGCAAAATGGATTCTATTCCTAGGACAAAACAGGGAAAGTCCTGGACTATAAGTGTTTTACTGATTTGTTATTGCTTCTGTTTCTCTTCCTGCCACATCATTGCCATTAAAAGTCAGTCTTTGGCCAGGTGCAGTGGCTCACGCCTGTAATCCCAGCACTTTGGGAGGCCGAGGCGGGAGGATCACCTGAGGTCAGGAGTTCAAGGCCAGCCTGGCCAACATGGCAAAACCACATCTCTACTAAAAGTACAAAAATTAGCTGGGCATGGTGGCAGGCACCTGTAATCCCAGCTACTCAAAAGGCTGACGCATGAGAATTGTTTGAACCCGGGAGGCGGAGGTTGCAGTGAACCGAGATCCCGGTATTGCACTCCAGCCTGGGTGACAAGAGTGAGACTCCATCTCAAAAACAAACAGACAAACAAACAAAATGTCAGTCTTTTTAGATTAGACCTCCTGAACATTGAAGAAAAGTGATGTCAATCATTTGAGACTGAGCATGGAAATCTGCTCAGTACTTCAACTCCAATTTTCATCCTCAACACAGCTATCCACCTAAGTCTCCCTAGGAGTTATGTCTAATGTGGCCTCCATATCCTGCCCTCAATTCAAAAGCAAAGTAGTGCCTTCTACTCCCTTTCTCAGTCAAGAGAGCTTGACGGCTTCCAGTGGACATAGACCTCTGAATTAAGACACGCCCATTTGTGAAAAGTTCCCAGTATTTCCTCTACCTTATCTCTGGAAACTTTTCATTCTTTATTACAAAGGATGATTATACTATTCCTTCTTTCCAATAGAGCTTAATTGTCTTTTAAAAGGTCGAGACTTTAAAACCACTAAAGATGTTTTCCTGAGAGGGTCATTCATGCCGGGTCTGCAATACAATTCACTCTTCCCAGGATCACCAAATGAATCTCTGAGTCTTCTTAAAAATAATAAAAGTAACAGCAGAAATTCATGTTAGGGCTTTGTAGCATGGATATAAATGCATGCATTCCTTATTACTGACATCATGGTCTCCATTTTTTTCAATTACTATGTTCCCTATGTCAAGACGAAACAAAGGAGAAAAAGCTGCTTTTTAAGAATGTACACTAATTCCCTCCTAAATCATTGTGCTAAAATATCAAAAGAAATTATAGCTGTCTGCGCTAGAGATGTATGAAGTGATGTGTCCACACCTTTTCAGTTCCTGTTAGTAATCAAAACAAGTGTTTCTAAACCACTTTCTCTTTGCTCCGTAGAACACAAATTCTAGAGGATGATAATATGTTTTACACACACAACACAATTTCCTCCATCAAGTGTTATAGAAAACAACCAGTACAACAAAATCTTTTACTGCAGATTCCATAAATCAATCTGAATCTTCAGAAAAAAATTGTAATTTTATAGTTTTCCTCAAGCTAAATTCATGGAACCATTTTTCCACTGAATATCTTGAATGACTGACATTTTACAAAGTTCACCCTAGGAAATGTTAATTGCAGCCAACTTCTGTTATTCATCATTCAGTCAACCAATTTTGAATACCAGCAATGTTATCAGCAATCCTATGAGAAATGGTGTAGGAATGGAAAAGTGTCTAGGAAGGAAAGGAAAACAATACACAATATGATAAACATTATCTTACTTGTCATACACTATGATATAATAACACTAATAGTTATCGTAACTACCTCATATGCATTCTCATTTAACTCTTTCCAATGTTTTCTGAACTCCAGCAACCGTGCAGAGCACATAGAAGTCACAATAGAAATATGAAGTCATTCACCGACACTTTTTCCTTCCTTGCATAAGAATATGTTTTAAAAATCTGTATCTATGAATACACAAATACAGTATCATAGTCATGCAAAAAGGTATCATATTATACATATTATGACTGTGTGTTTTAAGTGCAATATGTTTTTTCTTTTAGATATACCATCCCCATAATAGATACCGCATGTTAGGCTTATATACCATAGTTTTTTCCATGATCATATGATTACATACATATGCCTGTACATCTTTAAAGCCTGTAGACACAGCTGGAATTCTCATTTAAGAAACATCAGTGGGCCAGGCACGGTAGCTCACACTTGTAATCCCAGCATTTTGGGAGGCCGAGACAGGATGATCACGAGGTCAGGAGATTGAGACCATCCTGGCTAACGGAGTGAAACCTCGTCTCTACTAAAAATATAAAAAATTCGCCGGGTGTGGTGGCACATGCCTGTAGTCCCAGCTACTTGAGAGGCTGAGGCAGGAGAATTGCTTGAACTCAGGAGGCAGAGGTTGCAGTGAGCCTAGATCACGCCACTGCACTCCAGCCTGGGTGATAGAGTGAGAGCCCATCTCAAAAAATAAAAAAAATAAAAATAAAGACACCTCAGTGATCTTGATTTCAGAAGACATTCTATAGAAACCTAAAATATCTAGGACATCAAGCTGAAAAGGGACTCAGAAGAGTTCTGCCATGGATATGAATAAGTTTTAATGAAATTTGATCAATTTTTTTTACATGTTCATTTTTAGGTATGAATAAAGTTATATAAGATAAGCTTCGATACTTAGTAGAATCTAAATGAGCACTTCAAATGAGAGTTAATTTTTTAAGTTATAAAAAAGTCTTCCAGTTCAAGACCAGCCTGGGCAATATGGTGAAACCCCATCTCTACAAAAACTACAAAAATTAGATGGGCATGCTGGTGCATGCCTGTGGTCCAAGCTACTCGAGAGGCTGAAATAGGAGGATTGCTCGAGCCCAGGAAATGAAGGCTGCAGTGAGCCATGATTGCACCACTGCACTCCACACTGGGTGACAAAGCAGGACCCTGTCCCCCTCCACCCCCCAGTGAAAACCTTCTGTTATGGTTTAATCTCAGCATGTTTTCTTATATGAAATGATAGTGGGTTTTGCAATCAATGATACCTTAGGTTCAATAAAATATAGTACATAAACACATATGCATACATATGAATTTTTTATCTTTTTTATGAAAATAGAATCATAGTTTATATAGTTTAATATTACATTGTTTTTCTCAATGCTATCTTATGGAAATTTCTCCAAATCTAAATAATATATCTCAAATTAATCTATTTTATTGGCTAAATATTTCCCAATGAATTCATTATTGCATTCCTCTATTGATAGGCATTCACTTTATTCTGCTTTGTTTCCACTATAAACAATGGTATAATAAATATGCTTATAAATGTGTCTTTACATACTGTAGATTTGTTTATTTGCAATAGATTTACAGAAATGGGATTGTTGGGTCAAGATGAGTATGGCTATAGTTTGAATATGTGCCCTCCAAAATCAGGTATTGCCAATGTGTTAATATTAAAAGCTGGTGCCTGTAAGAGGTCATGGTTGTTCCTCCTTCATTGATGGGATTAAAACCCTTATAAGCCCCACATAGCATTAGGCTATCGTTTGCCCTTCTGCATTTTGCCAAGTGAAGACACAGTGTTCCTACCCTCCAGAGGATAAAGTGTCAAGGCAGCATCTTGGAAGCAGAGAATGAGCCCTCACCAGGCAACCAAACCTGCTGGTATTAATACATTGTTCTGGGACTTCCCAACCACCAGAACCGTGGGAAAATAAATTTATATTCTTTATAAGTGACTCAGTCTGAGGTGTTCTGTTATAACAGCACAAATTGACTAAGACATGTATCCAATATAAAATCTGATAGACCTTGCCAGTTTGCTTTCCTGAAGGATGAAAAGACTCTAACTTATTTTAGCAGTGTGTGAAAATATTTTTTCTTACAATCATAACAGAAATAGATATTATGATTCTTTTTGAAGTTGGCTATACTTTAACTGATTTTTGAATACCTTGTCTATATTTATATGTCATTAGGTTTTTTTTAAGGATTTTCCTATTGATATATTTTATCTATTTTTCTATTTGGCTATCTTTTTGTCAGTTTATAGGAACTATTTGTATATGATAGGTAAAATATTTTTGTTATCAGAAATATATTTGTTCCAAATCTTTGACTACTGTCTTTATATATGAAAATTTTTCCTCATTAAATTATTCTTAATTTTTCATCTTTATCTTTAATCTTATTACTCCAGAGTATGCAGATTTGGTTAATTTCTACTAGATTTTCTTGCAAGTTTTTTGTTGCTCTTTTGTTCTTTTAATTTTTTATTCCTTTTGGAATTTATTTTGTATACATTAAAATCGATGTTGAATTTTATTTTTATCCAGTATGTCATCACCACTTACTAAATATTGCATCCTATCCCACTTATTTGACTGGACTCTTAATTTTACATATACTACCTTCTTATATACACAGATACATGATCTGAATTATCTTTCAGGTTCCGGTGACATGTTGATCTATCCCTCTACCAATAGCACATTGACTATCACAAGGCTTGATAATGTATTAATAGCTAGATGACAAATACCTCTCACTAATCTTTTATTTTCCCCCCAACTCCTTCTCTTACCTATTCCCAGACATTTATTCTGCTATGTAAGCTTTAAGAAATTTTCTTCCAACCCTTTTTAGCAGCTGTCACTGTTTAAAGAAGGAAGAAGGAAGAATTTAACCTAACATTAGTGAGATAATGTATATAAAGTAACATACTTTGTGAATGGCAGAGGGAATATTTTATCCAGCCCAATCTGATAGATCTGATTGTAAAATAATTAGCATTACACCCAATTCTACCTACATGGTTTCCTTTGATGCTTACCAAAGACTTGTAGCTATAGTTTTCTATTTTTACAGATAAGGAAGTGAGATGACTAAAAGGGGAACTAATTTGTGCATGTCATTTTTAGGCATATTTCCTTATTCTTTTTATTTTTTATTTTTTTAGACAGAGTCTTGCTCTGTTGCCAGGCTGGAGTGCAGTGGCGTGATCTTGGCTCACCACAACCTCCACCTCCTGGTTTCAAGTGATTCTCCAGCCTCAGCCTCCCGAGTAGCTGGGAATACACGTGTGCACCACCACACCCAGCTAATTTTTGTCTAAGTACCTGTCTAAATACCAAAATACCTTTATCCTCAGCATGAAAATGCCTGTGCACTTTGCAGAAATCAGTCTAAGCAGCTCTGGACATGAAAGTGAAGCAAAGTGGGTGTGATCATCTGAGGAAAAAAAAAATCTGCATTCAATGTGCAACATCACAATCAGTAGGGCATTCTGTTGCCAGTAACCTGGATACTGAGCCTGGTTTTGACCAACGGCAAATTTTCGGAACTCCTGACAATGCAGCAGGAATCACAAGCCTTTTGAATCAAATCCTGTGATTCAGGTCTTAAAACCTGAACTTGACTGCCTCCCCATGGGAGTCACAAGTTCAGAACTACTGGCTTTTGTAAAATTAGATCAATGAAAACCTTGATACAATCCTTGTCCACATCTTCAAAACCAGAAGACCTCATATTCCAGTTTGCCCAGAATAGTCCAGGTTTATGTCTATTGTCCAAGTTTGCTTAATAAGAAAGTCCCTTTACTCTCAAAATTATCTCAGCAGGGATAATACATTATATGGTCATGCTATTCAGAAAGAGACAATGTGAGACATGGCATATGTAGTAGTACAGAGCTGAACGAGCTCACAGGGTAAGGTTTACAGGGTTATTAGCAGAGAGCCAGAGGGCAAAAACTCCAGGAAAAAACAGCCATCACTTGTTATATGTTATTGCTATCTTAAAGAACCATTTTCTGGTCAGGTGAGGTGGCTAAAGCCTGTAATCACAGCACTTTGGGAGGCTAAGGCAGGCAGATCACTTGAGGCCAGAGTTCAAGATCAGCCTGGTCAACATGACAAAACCCCATCACTTTGCCTGTTGCCATCCATGTAAGATGTGACTTGCTCTTTCTTGCCTTCCACCATGATTATGAGGCTTCTGCAGCCACGTGGAACTGTAAGTGCAATTAAACCTAGTTCTTTTGTAAATTACCCAGTCTCAGGTATGTCTTTATCAGCAGCATGAAAATGAACTAATATAACACTCAACCTCTCTTTTCTGTCTATATGAAGTTACCTATTATCAATATTTTATATAAATAAAAACATACAATATGTGATATTTTGTACACATATACACATATATACACATATACACATTTATAATATAAATAAAGCACATATATAAAATGCATATATAATTTATATTTCTTTCCATATATATAAAAATACAAAAAAAACACATTTTTTGTGTTTATCCATTGATCGACATTTGGGTTTTTCTACCTTTGGTTATTATGAATAGCAGTGTTATGAACATTGATGTGAAATTATTTGTTTTCAGTTTTGGGAGGGTATATATACCTACCTAGGATTGAAATTGCTGTGTCATATGGTAACTCTATGTTTAAATTTTTTAGATGATTGCTGAACCATGTTCTACAGTGGATATCATGTTACATTCCCGCCAGCAATGTACAACTGTTCTACTTTCACCCTATCCTTGCCAACACTTTTTTTTTTCATTTTTTAAAATTCTAGTAGGTGTGAAGTGCTATCCATTGTGAATTTTCTATATCTGGGATTTTGTAATCTGTAAATAGAGATAGTTTTACCTCTTCCTTTTTAATTTGGACATTATTTATTTATTTTTGCTAATTGCTTCACTGAGAACTTCCAGTACAGTGTTAAACAGAAGGATCAAAGTTAGCATTCTAACTTTTCTTTCTCCTGATGTTAGCGGGAGAGCTTTCAGTCTTTAACCATTGAATATGATTGTGGTTGTTGATTCTTCATAAATGACTTTTATCAGGTTGAGGAAGTTATCTCTACTCCTAGTTTGTTGAGCATTTTATCATAAAAGTCTGATGGATTTTGTTATATGTCCTTTCTCATAAATAAGATTCTGGGTAAAACAAAATAAAAGATGAAAAGAATAATGAATGATTGATCAGGAAAACTAAAATTAAAGGATGAGTTGATTTATAATTAGATAGAAGAGAAATGAGAATTACTTTAGATGTAGAAGGAACAACATGATCAAACCCTCATAGGCCTATGTAAGCATGATATAAGAATAGTAGGTGACTTTAGCTGCTTTTCAGTAACTCCCTACATTATGTTTGAAAACAATTCTATGTAGGTGTTCCAACAGCCCCAGCTGAGATCTCAGATAACAGCCAGTGTCAATTGTTAAGCAGGTGAGTAAAGAAGTTTTCATGATGATTTCTGACCAAGCCATAATCTCTTAACTGTGTGATGCTGATTAAGAACCACCTGACTGAAATCAGTAAATCCCCAAACCTATCAGAGATAAATAAAGAAATGATTGTTTTTGCTTTAAGCTGCTGAGTTTGGGGGCATTCTGTCACACAGTAGTAGATAAATGAAAAACAGAAACAAAACAAAAACTCCATAATCATACTGTAGAAGTAAGGTTGGATTATGCAGAGAGAAGTAGATTTCATACAAGGCTTGAGTAGAGTTGTTTATAAATTCAAGTTATTCATTCACTAGGCATTTTATCTAACATGCACAAGGCCAAGTCACAGACACTAAAAAAACAAACATGAGCACAAAATAGTCCCTGCTTCAGAGACAGTCAGTACCCAAGGAGGAGAACAGACCATACCGAAGGCAAGCAACAGTAAAAGAGCATGTGTCCTACAAGAATGGTGGTGCATGCTCAATGTCATGGGAGCACAAAGGAGGAAGTGAGATTCTATGTAGAGACAAGAAAAGGAAGAGATTTTCAAAATAAAAGGAGGAATTCATTTTGAAATGTGGAAAATAGGGAGGAGAATTTCCAGTAAAAAGGAACAACAAGTATATATACAAGTACATAAGTGTTAAATTATGTGGTTTATCCAGGGCCTGTAAGAAGTCAATCATGGCTCCTGACTAACATGGTGAAACCCCGTCTCTACTAAAAATGCAAAAAATTAGCCGGGCATGGTGGCCGGCGCCTGTAATCCTAGCTACTCGGGAGGCTGAGGCAGGAGAATAGCATGAACCTGGGAGGCAGAGGTTGCAGTGAGCAGAGATCGCGCCACTGCACTTCAGCCCCTGGGCGACAGTGTGAGACTCTGCCTCAAAAAAGAAAAAAAAAAAAAAAAAGAGAAGTCAAACATGGCTTGAGTATTGGGGACAGGGAGGGGTGACAAGAAATAGTGCAAGATGAAGTGAGTGACATTTTAAAGTAATTCGGGCTCTAATCTGTACTCTGAAGGAAGACAATCACTAAGATGAATATTAGCATAATATATTATACAAAGATAAAAAGACATCCTGATGACTTCAGATTTTTTTCAGGAGAAAAGGGGTTTTCTCATCAGAATCACTATAAGCTATACTGTCTTTCTTAGCAAACAGTACAGAAAATACAGTCTAGTCACCGTAAGAGCCCTTTGGAAAGGGATTGGTCATTTAAATTAAGTCATAATATGCACGTAAAATTTAACGGATGATATCAAATGGTATCTCTTCTAACTTCCCTCTTCTCTTTTCTGACTATATTTCTCTTTACTACTACTATACACACAAAACCTCCAATTAAATAAGAATTATTCATATATCCTTCCATAACAACTTCCTTACAAAGAATAATAAAATGATAATCACAAATACAACTAAAAAGTGCTATCAAGTGAAGGCATTAGTGCACCTCTATGATCCAATCACCACATTAACACTTGGAGACATAGTTCCAAGCCTTCCCAAAGTATCTTTTTTCTCTGATTATGACAGAGCTCTTGATCATCCTTCCTGGCAGCCTTCTTTCACTGCAAGTCAAAAATTATGATGACCCTTTGGAATATACTGTTCAAATTTTAAAATGTCAGCTTAAATATCTCACTGAAGCTTGTGAACCCCTAGCAAAGAATAGGAATGCAGCTTCCAAATAAACAACTGATTTGCTTGGATGGTGTCCAAAAAGGGTGATAAGTGTCCCCTTGAAAGGGTGCATTGGAATTACATTACCCTGGGTCTATATAAAATATTATTACTAATATATTCTGCATGCATGTTTACTATTAATAATACTATTAAATAATAATAGCTATGTGCCTGATGATGATCTTAGCACTTTTGTTGATTAAGTCATTTAATCTCCACAGTCAGCATTATAAGATAGTTATCTCTCATTTGGGATGCTCACTCTTGGAACCCAGCCACCATGTTGTGAGAAAGCTCAGGCCACATGCAGAGGCCACATGTGAGTATTTCAGCCAACAGCTCCAGCTGAGGCCCCAGCCAGCAAACAACGTCAACTTCAGGCATGTGTACCAATGAGCCTTCAGATACTAGCGTCTCAGCCTTGGAGTTCTGCAGCTGAGACCCTAGAAACCATGGAGCATCCCTCCTGTGCCCTGTATAAATTCCTGACCCACAGAAACTGTGAGAATGGTATGGTAATTTATAATGCAAAAACAGATAACTAATAGAGTAATAGAGTGGGTAACTAATATTTACACATTGCAGATGAGGAAACACTGCTGTAACTATTTCTTACAGTGTCTGTTTTCTCCAATAAGCTTCATTAGGCCAAAGATCAAGTCTTATTCATCTTTGTATTGTTTGCCCTAAGCACTGGTCCTGGCACTAATAGCAAGCAATGAACATCTGTTCAATAAAAGGAGAATGAGAACTGTAGTTAGAGAGTAGAAAGAGCCATTCTCCTAAGTGAACTTATCCTTTCTTTACCCAATTCTCCCTGAGGACAGTCATTATTCACATAAGCAAGAAAACTAAACTATTCATTTATTACAGAAAGTGAAGCCTGTGAAAATTGAATAAAGGAGGTGAATCACAATCTGGAGCTGACTTAAGAGGTATTTTTGCAGGAAGACTGTTGAACCTAAAGTATCTTTCCACCAACTACTGAGACAAAGGAATCTTCTTTTTTCCTAACATTATTTTTAGCAATGGAAGTCTTCTAAACCAATAGATGGCAATGCCAGCTAGTAATGAAAGAGCCCAGAGACCAGAATCCTTCCTATCTTTAAACTTTAATTTATTATACGTTGTCTCCCTCAGATGCTGTGGCCCGCTCCCTGGTTTTATGTACAAATAGCAGAGAAACACCTATAAGCCTCTAGCAATTCTTTCAGTTCCTTTTCTGTGTCTGTGCTTCCCTTGGCAGGATTCTGTGTGTGCTTTGCATCCAGTGGGGTGTTACTGTAATGCTTTGTAACAGAATCTGCCCTTGCACTACTGGTACCATTTGGCAAAAAGGGCTAGGAGTTGAAGTCCCCCTGAGGTATCCCATAGACAATGACTGATGGATGTAAGCTTATGAAGCTCAGCTCTTCTTGACTTAGGAAAAATTCTTCAGAGTGATTTACATTCCAGAACTCCCCTTCAGGATCCATTTGAGGCCAGAACTTATGATTTTCTTCCTTGCCCAGCTTACCTTAGTATCTTAAAGGTTTGTCCTGGGTGTATGATTTTTTTAAAATAAATCAATTGTCACAAATCCTAATCATAGAGTCTGCTTCTGGAAAACTAACTTCAAGCAAAAGTGTATCAGCAACTTTTTTGAGAAAAAGAAGTAAGATCCTGTTAACAAATGATCATAAAGGAGGGCACTATTTTAACTCCCTTAGCTATTATTTAACTTCCCAATTGTATTCAAATTTCCCTAGAGTATTACAACAATGTGCAAAAAACAGGCATCCACCAGGCACAAAGAAAATAGAGAATAGTGACTTCAGTATCAGTGAGAAGTAATGATTACTTTATGACATTAGCTGTCATCTTAGGTGCAAGCTCTATGAGAGCTCACATATTCAAATGTGTCAGATTATACACACACACACACACACACACACAGCATATCACAATTTTCTCCTAGTTTAACACTCTTTTTATGTCCAACAATTTCCATTACCACAACAACTCACATTCCATAATACCCAATCAGGATATCAAGAGATAGTTGGGAGGAGGCAGCTTACAAGTAAAACATGTCCTCCTAGGATGAAGATATTTGTTCTTGGTTGTATGATTTACATCCTCATTTTCTCCTTGTGAACCTTCCAACATTTTCTTGACAACAATGCCAATTGGCACTGCTGAATTCCAAACACATAAGAGTATTTCCAATAATTTTGGATCTGAGTTATATAAATATTGTGTTGTACATAGGTAAAGAGAAAACTACATTTTTTGCCCAAATCACATAAAAGGTCTGTAACCCATCTGAAAGTAATACAAAGTATAGGCAGGTTTCCTTTTCTATGCCAAGAAAATATGAATGTGAAACTAGGTAAAAGCAAAAGATGTGTACTTACTGCTTGAGCAAGACTCACAACTGTTAACCTTAACTCTGTTGGAATATTCTCCTTTGTAAACCTACCTAACAAGATACTTCAACTCTGAAGTAATAGCTTATCATAACTCAACAACATACTTATTCTACCTGTCATACAATGATAGATGTGCCACCTCCACATAATTTTGTTTGACACAAGGACTGTTGTGGCCTAATAATCACCACTCAAAATATAGTCAAATCTTATCAGGGTAAGGAATAAGTTCAATTTTACTACAAGCCAGACACTTTGCCAATAATGCTGATCCTATGCTAAACGGATTAAGTAAGGGTCATTGGGAAGGGCAGAGAAAGACCAACTTTGACCACAGGGTTGACCCCATCCATCAAGTTCAAACCTTAGATATAACAAAATCTAAGTCAAAAATTGCAATCTCTAGGGCATGGTATAAAATAACATTCAGTCTGGAGAACTGTACAGGAAAGTCTGGTTTGGGTGGAAGCTGGGTGATCTACAGAGTGCCGCACTGGGGTTTTAAGCAGCAAATCTTGGTATTGAATAAGAATCAAAATTATCATTTGATAGTAATTCATGTGAGAGTAATCAAACCCAGAATATGAGTCCCTGGAAAAGAAGCTAGCATAGATAAGATGATGGATTCAGATTCAGAAACAGCTTGCAGATTATTGAATAAAAATCAGGCAGCAGAGACCCACGGATGTTGACTAATATGGCACACAGTGAAATTAGTAAAGAGACTGCATTGCAATTCTCCACTGTGTTAAGGATTGATATAGTGAACCCCTCTCTGCTTTCACCCAGGCAAGTGATGCAGGGTAGAGACTTTTGAAGTATGTACAGATCCCACTGGTCATGAGGAAGAGGTGGCAGTGCCCAACTGTACAGGATTCTAATAGGTTCTAGCATCTTCTTCCTCCTTCTCCTTCTCCTCTTCCTCCTCCTCCTTTTCTTCTCCTTCTTTTCATCCCCCTCCTCCCTCCTAATGATGATGATCATCATCAAAATTTATTGAGCTCTTGCCATGTGCCAAGTACTGTTGTAAACACTTCGCATATAATAACTGATTTAATCTTTACAACATTGATACCAGAAAGGTGGTGTACAGACCCAATTTTACAGAAAAGGAAGCTAAAGCACAGAGTTCTTATATAATTTGCTCTAGTTTCCAGGATAGTTAAGGGTGGTTCCAAAAGTTAAACTCAGGCAGGTATTAGAGCCCCACAGTCTAGGAAAATACATCCCAGTGGCCAGTGATTTCTATACTAGCAAGTACTGTTATGCATGGCAGACTGTGTCTTATATTCAAAGGAATTGCCTTTGAATTTGCAGAAAGAAATTCATGTGTCTCTCTTAAATCTCATTTTAAACTATCATTTCTAAAATTCCCCTAAGATTCATCTACTCCACAGGTAGCTCTTCATCTTCTGAAATCCTTTATTGCTTATTTGAGACTTACTGTTTATACCGAATCACTAGTTCTCACTGTATTTGTTTGCCTTGTAAGCCTAACTGTGCTGAATTATTTTTGAAGAAAGATATTAGAGGTACTGCATATATAGAGCCTGGCATAGAGTCAGCACTTAATAGAATCCTGTTGACAGATTAATTGCAGATTTGATAAAACAGGGATTTTCCCGCAATGGGATATATTGCCAAGAAGATGCCATCAAATCCCCTTTCAGGAGATATTTATAAATAAGATTCATTTTCAGCCACTTCAGGTCATTTACTGAGTTCCTACTAGAAGTGAAAGGAATGGCCTCCAAAATTCCCTTCTAAGCGTGTGATTTGTTAACACTGGGAACTGTCTTTCTAAACTCCCATATCCCTTTCCTTCAAGGTATTTACAACAATGAGACTCAATAATCCTGCCCTTATCCATAATATAATGTTTTGGAAAGATCATAAGCTTTGGGATTAGTCAGTTTGGGATATTCATTTTTAGTCTATAATGTAAAATCTTGGAAAACGTGATCAGTTTTTACCTCTCTAAGCTGCTGTTTTTTTTTTTCACTTGCAGAATGAATTCAATGACAGCTACCTCATAGGTTTGTTCTAAAAAAAAATGTAAAATTGTGTAAGTTAACACAGTGTCTGTAAAACCATAAACACTCAAAAGATTTTAGTGCTCTTTAATTTCTTCTAACTTAATCTTTGATAAAAAGATATTCCCATAAGTTATTATGTTTCAGTAGAGAATGGCCATTTGTCATGGGTTAGTTTGTGAATATGCATGAATATATATATAAGATTGTTACACCACAAAGCTCAAATTAATTAGAAGATAGATAAACTCTAGATATCAACCCTGGGGATGGCTACAATCTGATAACACAAAAAAGTAATCCATATAGCACTTCTAAATAATAAAAAAATTACTAGCATTTAGATAATAAATTGTTTGTTTCCAGAAAGTGAGTGGCTATAATACGATGGCCGTCCATTGCAGAGCTCAGAGAGACAAGGACTCCCCAAGCAGTTGCCAAAGCTATAAAAAGAAAATGTTAACAACTGGAAAGATTTTAACATTTATATAAATCAGTGTGGTAGCAAATAACATAAACAGCAAAATAACTAATAAAAATGTAGTTCATTATTTCTATACCAGAATATCTCAGCTTTGAAAAGTTACAGAGGGAGACAAAGAATAACGTGAAATTGACATATTAACATTGGTATTAGTAAGGGGTTGTATCATTTAGGACTGGGAAAGAGTGCTGAAAGAGGTATCAAAAGATTATTTCAAACCAGGACACGGTTCAGAGATACATGAGAGATCAGAACTAAGACAAACATAATCATGAGCCATTCCAGAGTAAGACATATTTTTAATCTCTCTACAGAGTTAAGATCCTTAAAAAACCACTTTAGTTTGTTACAGATAGAAATTTTAACAAAAGGTGTAGTCAATGTCTTGGTTTCCAGAATGGCCTGATTCCAAAGTTAATCAGTGGCTTTTATTAATACAGCCCTAAATTATACTTGACCTTTTGTGGGTGGTAAAAGAATTTGTCATCATAAAATATAAACCAAATATATGCAATGATTTTTGTGAGCATGCACACACACATACTCACTCACAATTTAGTTCCAATATAGTAACCTGTGGGGGAAAAATTACTTTAATATTATAAAATCCACAAAGCAAATAAGTCAATTCAGGATTCACTGACTTCTTAGACTAGGGCAGAATTCCAAACACTTTTATGTTAGAAAAATCAACTCCCAGGAAATGAATGTCGTCAGTAACTAACAGTAAATATGAATGATCTCCACATATAACAGATCATAAATGCCGGAAATATTTATACATATTTAAAATACATGAATGCTTCTCTTTTGGTGACTGTATAAATGAAATTCACTTAAACTTTTGCATTTGTGATGCTTCTTGAGTTAGTGTTTAATAGCAATTATAAATTTAACTTTGTATACACAGACAAATTATACAATCCAAGTTTAAATTAATTTTCATTAATAAAAACAATATAGTGCATTGAGAATATCCAACTGCATTCAATTGCATTTGATTTAGCCACTAAAATTCATCTGAAATAAGCAGTAATTTAATGTCTGCAATATTAATTCTAAATTCAAATGATACACTAATTACAGACTTTTCAGACAGCTAATTACTTCAGTTGGAAATACAGAATTACTTTCATTTATTAGACACTTGTTTAACTTAGAGCATTACACATTTTAGATGCTATTTTTCCTTTTGCATAATGACCCTCTACGGTTCATGGGTCAAAGACTATGAATTAACATATAATTACTTCAGCTATAACTACTTGACACCATTCATGGGAAATAGTTAAGTAAACAGGACATCTAGATCCACATTGCGACTACTTGCAGAAAATTTTAGTTTCTCTGGAATAGGAAACCATGCCATCATCAACTTATTGCACCCATCAGTATCTACCACATAATATGTGCTCTCTATACGCAGTAAATGGAACCATGGATATTATTCTTGGGAGAATTTGGTACGTACTAGTTCATACACACTTTCCTACCTGTAAAACATTAAGCCGTTTTTCAACCAATAAACATGTGTCTTAGTGGTGGGACTGAGGGACTTGGAAAGAAAAGACATTGCTAAATATGGTGAGAAACTGAATATATAAATAGACAATGATCAGATTGTATAGGATGGTGCAAAAGTCATTATGATTTTTGCCATTAAAAGTAATGACTTTTGCACCAACCTGTATAAAAATTAAAACTCTGACCCACAATTGGCATTAATCTGCCTAAAAACTCAACCCATTATCTTCAGTAACCAGCCCAGGAAGCTAGCCTACCATCTAAAGGAAATACCTATAAGAAGTCAGACCACTGTCTCTAACAAGAAATCCAGAAAGCCAAATGATAGCCCCTGTAATGATTGGGCCCCAGTGATCAATACTTGATTAATAACTGACAGCTTCCCTAATTTTTGTTCCTACTTCCAACATAAGACTAACAGCTTCTCCAGACTAACAGCTTCCAATCAGAGCACACCTGAAGGCTTCTTTACTTTTGATGATTAAGCTTTCCCACTCCTATACCTGCTTTTGAGGCTCTAAAATCAAGTGATAGTGGCCACCTCCCTCACTATGGCAAGTTTTGAATAAGTAGCATTTTTTGTTCTCATTTGAGTGGCTGTTGTTTACTTCCTCAATGAAAAAAATTCTGGATGGTGAGTTTATGAATAATTTTTTGAAAATTTTATTCTGTATATTACAAATGTTCTAGTGAGTTTGCTTACTCAATGTTTAACATAAAGAAGTGATACGAACTATAGGCAATAGATTTAGACTAAGTTCCACCTTTACAGTCTGTGTGGTCTCTGACAAGTAATCTAACTTCTCCATAACACAATTTGTACGACTGAAAGATGGGAATAATCCATGCAACCATCCTTTTGGGTTATCACAAATATTAAAAGAGAAAATATATGTTATAACTTATAACTGTATCAATGAGTGGAAGTACTGTGAACCATTCACATCATTTGTAATATACAGAATAGTGAATGAGTAAACTCCTAGAACATTTGTAATATACAGAATAATACAATTTAATAGAGTTTTATAATCAGAAACTGTAAGTGTTATTTAGCCAAATAGAGAAAATATATCCTTTATATTAACATGTTTACATACTCCGGGTGCAGGTGGGTATAGACAGGGGTGGAAGTTCAGGAGACATCTTGGGGAAACACTTGGGAAGACTGTGTGTTATGGCTCCCCAGGTAGAATATTATCCTGCGTTATTGGGAACCACCGTGAAATGCTGCATGTGTTACTCTGAAATGGCGGAGTTCAGAACATGCTACCCCAAAATATGATGCATTTTATGAAACAGCAGAAGCAGAAAATTCTCTCTGATCTCTAGCCTTCTGCCTTGAAGCAAGCCGTGAAAGAATTCTCTGACCTTCCTCTAAGGTAAGTCACGTGACTCTCATTCCAGCGAACCCTTCGCAACACTAGAGAAAGGGAATGTGGCACAAGTACACTAAGAATTGGAATAAACAGGCTTTGCTCATACTTCTGTATGACTGACCATAAAAATACAGAGATTTTTCTGTTCATTGAGTCTTCATTTTTTAAAATATTCCCATGTCACATAAAACTTACATTAAATAAATGGCTGTGCTTTTCTCTTGTTAATTTGTCTTAGTGATAAAGGTCTCAGCCCTGAACCTCACAATGGGTGAGAAATCTTTTCTCCCCTGCAGTACTTTTCTTTCTTACTCAAGAATAAACATGACCAGAGCTCTGATTATCTTCCAACTCTTGACATCCAAGTTTTGAAACGTCCTTTGTAAAGAACTGCTAATTTCTGGCAACCAATTGCTGACAATCTAAAGACATTAGTAACGTTACTGATTTCAGTGTATATGAAGGCTACATATACCTTCAGCATGATGATCTTTTATTGCTGTGAGAACGTATCTTTTTATCATCCCTTCCCATGAAATAAATAAACCCAGCAATAAAGTGATATGGAAAGAAAAACAGCTCTTAAGATTGATTGTAATGTGACAAGGACCTGAATATGTTTATGTATATTTAATTTCATAACATTGCAATAAAATAGGACTATTATTTCTCCCATTTTCAAATTAAGAAACTGAGACCTAAATGGGTAAGTAACTTGTTCAAGATGTAATGTTTAATACTGTCTTAATTTACACAGGTTTATTCCAAAGGTCACACTCTGAATTATCAGTCATAATTTTTCCCAGTCCGTCCCTGAAAAGAAAACACACACATGCACACAGAGACATGATTATAAAACACGGGTCAAGTACTAACAAGAGGAATAAATTGATCATGTTATTTTATATCTTGTAGTCTAATATTCATATTGCCTCTCACATATCTGGGTTTGGTAAAGAATTCATTCACCCATATCTAAGAGGTTAGGATTACCAGTCTTAAGAAGCAAATAAATAAATTATATTTCAAACAGAGTTTAACATATGAAAAGTGTTTTGCTTATTGAAAATTTGAGAGGGGGCTTGTTACTTCCCTCATTTTCTAATATGTACCTTGTGAATTGTATAATATACAGGCACTCAATGTTTAACATAAAGAAGTGATAAGAACTATAGGCAATAGATTTAGACTACTAAGTTCCACCTTTACAGGCTGTGTGGTCTCTGACAAGTAATTTAACTTCTCCATGACACAATTTGTACAACTGAAAGATGGGAATAATCCAGGCAGCTATCCTTTTGGGTTATCACAAATATTAAAAGAGATAATATATGTCATAACTTATAACTGTATCAATGAGTGGAAGTACCTTGATCCATTCACATCAAAATTTCTCTATTTCAAACAACATAAAAGTTTGAAAAAAAATGCCAAGATGGCATATCATTAATTGATAGAGTTTATGCTCTTTCAGAGACTCTTTTAGAAACCAGCTAAATAGGTTTTCAAACATACAATACCATTATGAGAGATGAGGAGAAAGAGAAGAGGAGGGTAAATGAAGAAGGAATAAAGAGAGTGGAGAAGAGAATAGAGTAGAAAGAAAGAAAGAAAGAAGGCCAACATACACACTATTAATTGTTTTATTTTCTATTTATAAAGCAGAACCCTGAAACCCTTTGTCTTTCCTGATAATCTTTAAAAACTCTCCCAATAATTCACTTTTCAGTAGTTTTCCACTTGTTTCTAAGTACCTCAGAGCAGGGAGAAGCAGTTGATTTCCTGATGTAATTATAAGCTGTATTTTAATTAGATTAGTGATAACTAATGCATTTTAAGTTTCTGACTTTGTTGCTTAGGTAGAATACTAATTGAAAACAAAATGGTTAGAAGCAGGCAAATCAGGTTACAGGTTGAACTGACACCATGCTGTCCTCAGTAAATAATCAAAAAGGAATAACAAAGTCTTTCCTGATCCTGTTCTCTGCTTCTTGTTTTCTCCTACGTTGTAAACTAGAAAAAGATATTTAGTGTAGGACACTGTATTTCTTCAGCATAGGTAATGTATGAACATGAACTATAGCACAGTGGATGAGACAAGAGAGAAAGAATGAAAAAAAATATGAGTATGACAGAAAGAGTGAGAGAGTGAGGCAGAGAGAAAGAGAGGGTAAGAAGATAGAGCCAAAGCCAGAAGCAGAGGCAGACAGACACAGAGACAGGGACACATACTGGCTCAGCTGAGGATTCTACTTACTTATTCTATTATGGAAGTTTATCAACATTTTTAATAGAAAAGGTAGTATGTGAGTTTTTTATTCTCATCTATATTAACATCAACAATTCTATCCACAAACCAATCCTATTCTGGTCCTATCAGAACTTCTCTCTCATTCACAATGTTTATCATTTGTTGTGACCTTAAAATTTTTGATTTACCTAAATAATATTTTTCTCATTAATTTGAGCACACAATGTGTCTATTTTGTTTTGTGTCCTTTACACTTATTTTGCTTCTATAGTGCCAGGCTATGTGCATCCTGTCTTCATATATGTTATCTAATACTGTAGCAGGACAAGCAGCAGACAAGTACCCCTCAGACACCTAGTTGTGGAAGGAAAGGGCTTTATTCAGCTGGGAGCATCGGCAAGACTCAAGTCTCCAAAAACCGAGCTCCCCTAGTGAGCAATTCCTGTTCTTTTTAAGGGCTTACAACTCTAAGGGGGTCTGCATGAGAGGGTCGTGATCAATTAAGCAAGCAGTGGGTACATGACTGGGGGCTGCATGCACTGGTAATCAGAACAGAAAAGAACCGGACAGGGATTTTCACAGTGCTTTTCCATACAATGTCTGGAATCTATAGTTAACATAACCAGTTAGGTCGGGGTCAGTCTTTAACTACCAGGCCCAGGGTGTGGCAACAGGCTGTCTGCCTGTGGATTTCATTTCTGCCTTTTAGTTTTGACTTCTTCTTTCTTTGGAGGCAGAAATTGGGCATAAGAAAGTATGAGTTGTGGTCTCCTCCCATATTCCAGGCATGTGCTCAATAAATGCCATAAGAATGTCCTGAGTGAATGAAAGGGTGAATGCGTGGACAGATAATTTGTTTACTTCCTAAACAAAGCTTTTCACATAAGAATTTTTTTAAATTAGCTAATGAGCACCTAATGTATGCTAGGCTCTTGGGAAAAAAAGAATGAACACAACACAATTTTGTTTCTACTCTGTTTAACAAACAGTGATGCAGACTTATTATTTGCCAGTTATTGTTCTACATGCTTTCCAAATATTAACCAATTTAATCCTTTTAACAAGCCTATTATGTAAGTACAATTATATACAGAAACACAGACTCAGAGTAGTTAAGTGATTTGCCTAGGACTATTCAGCTAATAAGAATTTGAATTGAGATTCAAACACAGGTATGCAGGAATATGAATTGTAACTTATTTTTCTTGGATTTTGCTACTCAGACTATAAAAATATATGCATACACAACACACATTTCTGACTTTTTTGTTTAATTACCTTCTTTTTAAACTCATTAATATCCTTGTATACTCATAGGTATTCATCACGTGTGCACGGCACAATAGGTAAAATGTATCCGAGAAAACACCAAATATTTAGAATTAAACAAACACATTCTAGTAATTAAAGGATCAAAGAAAAATTGCAAGGAAAAATAAGGGATGTTATGAATGATAAAAGCATATCAAAATTTTGGAGATGAGCTAAAAAAACTTAAATGAAATATATAGCTTCGAATGCTAACACAAGAAAAGACAAAATGTCAGTGACCTAAGTTTTCACTTTAATATGTGGGAAAATAAAAAAGCAATACGAAAGAAATAAAGATGAGAGCAGAGTTCAGCATAATAAACAGAGGAAAACAACAGAGAAAATTAAGTGTCAAAAGTTAGTTGTTACAAAAATAAACATAATTGATAAACCTCTAGCAAAACAAATAAAGGGACACAATATATAAATATCAGCCATGAAAGAGAGATTATTACTAGATTGTACAGACACTAAAAAGATTCTAAGATAATATTACTTGTAACTCTATGCAAAAAAACATTACACCTGCGTAGCTCAGACAAATTTTTTGAGAAACATCACTGGCCAAAACTGATAGGAGGCAAAACAGAAAATTTGAATAGTCCTCTGAATGTGAGTTTCATTTTGACAACTCCAAAACAGGTAAAACAATAAACCCAGATCATTTTACTGCTAGGATGTATCAAACATTAAAGAAGAAATAACATCAATCTTAAAAAACTCTGTCATGAAACATAAAAGAAGGAAATACTTCCAAACTCATTATGTAAAGTCACATAAAATTGGTACCAAACTACATGACAAAAAAAGAACACTATAGATTTACATTCCATTACTTATGGTCTAGCGATATTCCTAGTAAATAGCAATATTCTTAGTAAAAAATATTTTTAAAAGCTAGAATAGAATGGAAATTCATCTATCTGATAAAGGATATCTACAACAAACTTAGATAATATCAACTTAGTGTTGAAATCCTAAAATATTTTGTCTAAAATCTAGAATAAGGCATTTCTATTCAGTATTACACTGGATGATCTAGTCTTTGTAATACGACAAAAAAACAGAAGTAGCTGAAAAAATACAGCAAAGAGACAATTAAAACTGTCTTTACTTGCAGAAAATATAAATTTTTATATAGAATATCCTTAAAAATTTACAAATGTTAAATAAACAACAGGAAAAATTAAGAGTTGAAGTTGGTTATTTACAAAGATCAACAAAATTGATTAACCCATCACTAGGCATGTCAAGAAAATGACACCATATATTAATATCAGGCATGAAAGAGTGGGTATTACATAGATTGTATAGACATTGAAAAGATACTGAGAAAATAAAATTGAAGATTAAGTTAACAAGTTTGCAGACACAAAGTTAATGTACAGAATCAATCATTATTTTATATGCTAGCAGCAAAGAATTGGAAAACAAAATATAATTCCATACACAATAATCTCAAAAAAGAGAATATTTAAAAAACAATTTTCACAAAAATGTTTGGACCTACACGGGAAACTATAAAATTTTGCTGAGAGCAAAAAAAGCACAATTTATGGAGATTTACATAATATTCATGAATTAGAAGACTCAACATTATTAATGTAGATTCTACTAATTCCAATTGGTTTTTTTTGGAAAAGATTACAAATTGAATATAAAAGCTATATAGGCATGCAAAGTGCAAAGAATATCATAAGCAATATTGAAAAAGATGAACAAAATTGAAGAAATTATACTATATGATTTCAAAACTTACTTTAAAGTTATCACAAACAATATGGCATTGGGCATATAAATCAATAGATTTGAATATAAATTTCAAACATAGACCTACATATATACATCCATTGTTTTAAATGAAGGCACTAAAACAAAATATAATATGGGAATAACTATTTGTTTTTAAAAAAATAAATCTTGACTCCTACCTCATACAACAGTCTTCCTTTATTCACGGGGAATATTCCAAGACCCTCAGTGGATGCCTGAAACCATGGTTAGTACCGAACAATATACATATTTTTTTCCTATACATACATATCTATGAAAAAGTTTAATTTTTAAAATCAGGCATAGTAAGAGATTAACAAAATAATAATAAAATAAATTATATAATATGCTATAATAAAAGTTATGTTAATGTGCCCCTCCTCAAAATATCTTATTGCATGTAATATTTTCAGATCACAGTTGACCCTGTATAACTAAAACCGTAGAAAGCAAAACCATACATAGGGATGAACTAATGTATACAAAAGTGAGTTAGAGATGGATAAAAGATCCACATGTAAAATAAATAATATAAAGCTTTTAAAATAAAACATAAGGAAATGTCTTCACAACTTGGGACTAGGCAAAAACAGGTCATTTAAAGCAATAACCATACAATAACAAATCGATAAATTAGACTTCATCAAAAATAAACATTTTTCCATCTAGGGCATAATTAAGAAAATGAATAAATAAGCCACATACTGGGAGAATATATTTGCAAAATATGTGTGTCACTAAATCTGATATCTGGAAATACCTCCTATGACTCAAAATTAAAAGACAAACAACTCAGAAATAGATGACATATGTGAGTAAGCATTTCACAAGAAAAATACAAATAAATGAAAAATATCTCAACCTCATTAGACTCTTGGGAAATGCGATTAAAACCATAATGTGATACTACTATCACATTTGAATTGAGATTCAAACACAGGTATGCAGGAAGTATTTCACGTTTGGATTTTGCTACTCAGACTATAAAAATACAAGCATACACAACACACATTTCTGACATTTTTGTTTAATTATCTTCTAAATTTCTAAATTTAGAAGAGTGACAAAACCAAAAGCTGGAAAGGATATGGAGCAACTCGAAGTCTTACAAACAGTTGGTGCAGATGTAAAATGGTGTAACTACTTTGGAAGAAGTTGTCCTGCAAGTTCTTATAAAACTATGCACATATTAATCCTGTGACCCAGCAATTCTACACATATGCCTCTATAAAAAATATATCAAAATATATGCTTAACAAAAACTGGACAAGAATGTTTCAGGCAGATTTATTCATAATAAGCCAGAATTAGAAATAGCTCAAGTGTCCATATATGGGCAAATGCATTTTTATTCTTTTATTTTATTTTTTTGAGATGGAGTCTCGCTCTGTCGCCCAAGCTGGAGTGCAGTGGAGGCGATCTCGGCTCACTGCAAGCTCCGCCTCCCAGATTCAGGCCATTCTCCTGCCTCAGCCTTCTGAGTAGCTGGGACTACAGGAGCCCGCCACCACGCCCGGCTAATTTTTTGTATTTTTTTAGTAGAGATGGGGTTTCACCGTGTTAGCCAGGATGGTCTCGATCTCCTGACCTTGTGATCCACCCACCTCGGCCTACCACAAATGCATTTTTAAAAAAGTTTGTTATACTTATACAATGGAATAATATGAAGCCTTACAAAAGAAAGAGAGGCCATTAGAAAATACTAATACAAACAAAATATCAATAATCTATCTCATAATATGATACTGAATGGAAAAAACCTTACACTAAGGACTACATAATATCTTTGATATTCATACACAATACAGTGGCTGTTGGAGCCTTTTGTCTATAGCTTCTTGCATTTCTGCACATTTGGGAACAAAGGGAACCAAATAACATAAATAAGATGTTTACGATACTTGTTGTGCCTTGAACAATAAAAATCTTTTTCTTTAACTCAGGAATCGTGTGTCTCTAACCAGCATCCCTGAAACTGTGGCAGGTTAAATTGTTAGCTTGCCAGTATTGGCAAAAATTTCGGACTTTTCACAGTTTTGACCGTAGCAACATCTGGCTAATTAAATTTAAATTTTTATTAAATGTAATTTATAATTCAATTACTCAGAACTACCAGCCACCTTTCAAGTGCTCAATACCCACACGTGGCTAGTAGCTACTATATTAGAGAGCGTACTTATAGAACATTTGCATCATTGCAGACAGTTTGGTTGCACAGAGGTGTTTTCAACAGCAAAAACTGTAGCGGAAAGAAGTCAAGAGCGGCTGCTGTGCTGCTGGGGCCAGGAAAACGCATGGGCATGAAGGGGTTTCCTGGGTGGATGGTAATGTTCTAAGATATCTTGATAAATATTTAGTTTACACACATATATTCAGTTGTCAAAACTTCGTGAATATACATCTAAAATTTGTGTATTTAATTTTATGTAAATTTTACAGCTACAAATTTGTAAACAGATGCTGAACTAGTTAATAATTTAAATGCTAAATGAATATATTTATGCCTGTAATTTATGTTAGTGAGGAGTGTAGTGATGTCTGCAGTCCACTGTGAAGTTAATCAATAAAATAGGATAGGTTGATAGATACATTCGTATGTACAGAGTTTAATAGTTGGATCTGTGATAAAACAAGTGTAGGAAAATATTGATAGTAATTTTGGGTGGCATATATGCAGGTGTTTATGTGTAAAAAGTATTTCAACTTTGATATATGTTTAAATATTTTAATAATAAATGAAAAAAGCTCATTTAAAATAGCAACAGAAAATATGTAACCACTTTAGAAATAAATCTAAAATGATTTTGTGCAAAGAAAAATTTTTATTTGGAATACACTAAACTTCGTTAAAAGACATAGCACAAAATATAAGCAAGTAGATTGTATCAGGAAGATGGTGATTCTCCTGAATTATCCATAATTTTAATAATTTTAATAAGAATTTAAAAATCTAGAAGTTTTTCTATAAAATATAATAAGCTGAGACTAAAATACAAGTGGAAAATAAATCACTTATAATAATAATTTTAGCATAGCATGTATTAAGTCCTCACTGTATTCCAAGCCTTCTCTGAGAAATTATATTTAGATAGATGATATATAGGTAGATAGACAAAATAAAATGCACATGACAACCCTATGAGTAAGATATTGTTATTTCTGCTAATTTTACACCCTTAAGCATGCATTGGTAAGCGGCAATTTCTCATCTAGGGAAATTCACACATCTCAGAAAATATAAGTAATAATAGTTAATGTAGTATTATTTATGATACTCATTAAATGAAAACAATTTATAAATTTTATATTATAGTAGATAAATAAAACATAATTGTGATTTAGTTATACAGTGGAATACTTTGAGTCATTATAAAAGGAATAAAATTAAAATAGAGGTACCAAACTAGATAATTCTCGAAAACATAATGCGAACTTGAAAATGAAAGCATATGGCAAAAGGACAAGCATAGTATGATGCTATTAATGCACATTATTTTTTGAAACACACAAAACAATATTATAGTTTTCAAAGTAGGCTACCCATGTTCAAATATCAGCATCATCACTTAATAGCAAGGTGAAAACGTCAGCAAAAATACAGAATAGGCATTTCAAGCATGCATCCCCTCATAGAAACATCGCTTTGGACAACCATCCACAAAAATATCGTCACCAAAGCTAGGGAATGTAGATGAGATTACAGCACCTGAATGAAGCACAAAAATCAGAAAAGATGTATTGAACAGAGTCGGAAGGACAGCTTTATATTACCTGTATTTCCCCTCCCCCAGGCCCATATAGCATGGCATGAAGTGGTAACTAACACATGGGGAAGGAGATGAAGTGAGCATCATGGTGGATCCCAGCACTCCCACACCAGTGAACCCCAGACGTAGGCCAACCTGAATGGTCCCAGGGTCCAGGTTGGACTATGTAGACCTAGTTTCCTGGCTTGCCTTAGCACTAAGGCAGTCTCCATGGATCCAGGCTCCAGGGCTGCTCCAGAACCAGGCTGGCTCCCATACCACCATCCTCTGAATCCACCCTTGCAGACCCAGATGTCCACCCCAATCCCCAGCTTGCCCCCACTTCTCCAGCCACAAGGCCAATTCCAATGTACTCGGGCTTTAGGCCAGCCCCTGTGGACTCAGGTTCAAAGCCTATCCCCATACATTCAGGTTCCAGGCCCACCTCCATGCATTCAAGTTCCAGGCCAGCCCACTAAAGAACTCCAGTAACATGCTCTCCCATTTACTGTGCAAACTGGTTTACCCAGAATTTGTTGATATGTTGACAATTGAATGCCTTTTCCTGCTGAAAGTGGTTTATAAAAACAAGAAAAAGTGGTTACTTCCTCAAATGTGCAGACACCAACACAAGGCTACAAGGATCACAAACATGACACAACCAAAAAACGCAAAATGAAGCACGATAACTAACCCTAAATAGTGGGAAATCTACAAACCACCTGACAAAGAATTCAAAATAATTGTCTTGAAGAAACTCAGTATGCTACAAGAAAACACAGATAGAACACTAAATAAAATGAGGAAATGAATACATGAACAAAATGAGAAGTTTAACAATGAGACATAAACAATAATAAAGAACTAAACAGGAATTCTAAAGTTGAGGAAAAAGATAACTGAACTGAAAAATTTGATTTAGAACTTAAAGAGCAGACTTGCTCAAGCAGACGAAAGAATCAGAAAGCTTAAAGACAGTTTATTTGAAATTATCCAATCAAAATAACAAGAGAAAAAAATAATAAAGTAGAGTGTAAAAAACCTGTGGGAATGATGGGAAACCATCAAGCAAACCAACTTATGTGAATTCCAGAAAAAGTGAAAAGGCCAGATAGCTTCTTTATAAAAACAATAATAGTTGAAAAATTCTAAAATCTGGAGACGGACAAAACATCCAGATCAAATATATGCAAAGAATCCCAAATAGACTAAAAATAAAGAGATACTCAAGACATATTATAATCAAATTCTCTAAAGTCTCAGGCAAAATAATAATTTTTAAATCAAAAAGAGAAAAAGCAATTCGTCATTCAAGGGAACTTCCATGAAAGTATAAGCATATTTCTCAGCAAAAACTTCGCAGTTTTGGAGAGAGAGATATGATATATTCAAAGCGAAGTGCTGAAAGAAAAAAAAAATACTGCCAACCAAGATTACTATATGCATCAAACTTGTCCTTCAGAAATAAAGTAGAGCATGCACTTTTCCAGACAAACCCAAGCTGTAGGAGTTTATTATCACTAGACCTATCTTATAAGAAATGCTAATGAGAGTTCTTCAACTTGAAATAAAAGGACAATAATTAACAATATGAAAACATGAGAGTAAAAACTAACTGTAAAGATAAAAGTATAGTCAAAGTCAGAACACTCTAATACTATAATGGTGGTGTTTAAGCCAATTTTAACTCTAGTATAAGAGTCAGAAGACAAAATTATTAAAAATAACTATAGCTAAAATAATTTGTTAAGGAGTACATAATATAAAAATATGTAAATGTTGTAGTATGCAAATATGTAAAAATATGTAAATAATATCAATAACAAAATATGCGGAGGAAAAAAGTAATAGTGTAGAGTTTTGTATGTGGCTAAAATAAAGCTATTATCAGCTTAAAATTGACTGATATCAAATGGTTTATGTAAGTCCCATGATAACCCATAAACAAAAAAACCTGTAATTGATACATGCAAGAGAAAGGGATTGTTAATCAAAGTCTACCACTACAGAAAATCGTCAAATCACAAATGAAAACAAGAGAACAAAAAGGAAAAAAAAACCTAGAAAACATTGAACGATTAACCAAATGGCAATAATAGAGACTTATTTATCAATAATTACTTTAAAGGGATAAAAATTCTTCTATCAAAAGACAAAGCATTTGTATTAGGCTGTTGCTGCACTCTATAAGGAAATATCTGAGATTGGGTATTTATTATGACTTTATACAAAAACTTTAATTGGCTTATGGTTCTGCAGGCTGTACAGGAAGCATAGCAGCATCTGCTTCTCGGGAGACTTCAAGAAGGCAATGGAGGAGGAGGCACATCACATGGCAAGAATGAGAGCAAGAGAGTGTCGTAGGGGAGGTACCACACTTTTAAATGACCAAACTTTGTGTGAATTAAGAGTGAGAGCTTACTTATCACCAAAAGGATGTCCCAAGTCATTCATAAGGGATCCACCCCTATAACACAGTCACCTCCCACCAGGGCTCACCTCCAACACTGGGGATTACATTTCAACATGAGATTCTGGCAGGGATAAATATCTAAACTATATCAGCATTGCTGAATGGATTAAAAAGAAGAAGATCCATATGCTTCCTATAAGAGATTCACTTTAATTTTTAGTATACACATAGGCTAAAAGTAAAGGGATGAGAAATACTTGTTCCATGCATATGGCAAACAAAAGGGATCAGAGGAGGTTATATTTATAACAGACAAAACAAATTTGTATTCAAAAACTGTCATAAAAGACAAAGAGGGTCATTATATAATTATAGAGGGATCAATTCATCAAGAGGATATAACAACTATAAATATATGCATGCACTCAATATTGGAGCACCTAAATATATAAAGCAAATTTTAAAAGAAATAGAAGGCTGGGCATGGTGGCTCACGCCTGTAATCCTAGCACTTTGGGAGGTCGAGGCAGGAGGATTGCCTGAGCTCAGGAGTTCAAGACCAGCCTGGGCAACATGGTGAAACCCTGTCTCTACTAAAATACAAAAAATTAGCTGGGCATGGTGGGGTGCACCTGTAGTCCCAGCTACTCAGGAGGCTGAGGCAAGAGAATTGCTTGAACCCAGGAGGCTGAGGTTGCAGTGAGCCGAGATCATGCCACTGCACTCCAGCCTGGGTGACAGAGCCAGACTCCATCTCTAAAAAAAAAAGAAAAGAAATAGAAAAAAACAGCCATCAATACATCAATAACTAAAGACTTCAAAATTTCACTTTCAACAATGACTAGATCATAAAGAAAGAAATTTATAAGAAAACAGTAAATCTGATGAACATAATAGAACAAAAGTATCATAACAGACATATACACAGCATTATGTACAATAGCAGCAGAATACACATTCTAAGTGCTGAATGATCATTCTCCAGAATAGATAAGCCACAAAATAATTCTTAACAAAATTTAAAAGACTGTATTTCTATCAAGTATCTTTTTCAACTACAATAATATAAAACTAGAAATAACAGGTGGAAAATTGGGAAATTCACATGTATGTAAAATTTAAAAAACACGCCTCTGAAGAATCAATGGGTCAAAGAAAAAATGAAATAAAAAATATCTTGATATAAAGAAAAATGAAAACACATAATATCCAAAACTTATAGGATGCAACAAAAACAGTTCTGACAGGGAAGTTTATAGCAATAAGCATATTCTTAAGAAAAAAGAAAGCTCTCTAATAACTTAACTTTACACATTAAGGAAGAAGAAAAAGACAAAAGAAACTAAGCCCATATTTGGTAGAAGGAAGGAAATGATAAAGATTAGAGCAGAAATAAGTGACAAAGGGACTACAAAAAAATAGAAAGTCAATTTAAATAAGAGTTTATGAAAAGATAAACAAAATTGCTAAATTTTTAGGGAGACCAAGAAAAAAAGAGAAAACAGACAAATATAAATGAATAATTAGACATTAAAACTGATACAATAAAACATAAATAATCAAAAATTTATCATGTCTGGGCATGGTGGCTCATGGCTGTAATCCCAGCACTTTGGGAGGCCGAGACAGGCAGATCACTTGAACTCAGGGGTCCGACACCAGCCTGGGAGACACAGCAAAATCCTGTCTCTCCTAAAAATAAAAAAAGTAGCCAGGTGTAGTGGCACACGCCTGTCCTCTCAGCTACTTGGGAGGCTGAGGCACAAGAATCACTTGAACCCAGGAGGCAGAGGTTACAGTGAGCTGAGGTTGTACCACTGCACTCCAGCCTGGGTGACAGAATGAGAATGAGACCCTGTCTCAAAAAAAATATATGTGTATATATATATATATATATATATATATATATATATATATATATATATATATTTAGGGAGAGAGAGAGAGAGAACAATTTTACATCACCAAGTTAAATAACTTAGAATAAAATGAATAAATTCCTAAAAACAAGTAAACTACCAAGATTGAGTCATGCAGAAATTGAAAATCTGAACAGATCATTAATGAGTAAGGAAGTTGACTCAGTAATCAAAAACCTACCAACAAAAGGAAACCCAGGACCTGATAGCTTCACTGCTGAATTCTACCAAACATTTAAAAAAGAATGAAGGGCAATCCTCAAACACTTTCAAAAATTGAAAGGGCAGGAACACATCCAAACTCATTTTCTGAGGCCAGAATTACCTTAATACCAAGCCAGATAAGTACACTACAAGAAAAGAAAATTACAGACTAATACCCTGACAAACACAGATGTAAAAATCTTCAGCAAAATAATAGCAAATTAAATTGAACAGCCTGTTAAAAGGATCATTTGCCACAATTGAGTAGTGTATATCCCTGGGATACAGGGATGTTTCAATACATACAAATCAATTAGTATGATTAGACCATATTAACAATGAAAAAATAAAAATCTTATGATTATGTCAGTAGACGTAGAAAAAGTATTTGAAAAAATTCCACACTCTTTTTTTTTAAGTCTTAACCAATTAGGTATAGGGAGAATATATCTCAACATAATAAAGGACATATACGACAAGCTTACAGCATACTCGACAATGGATTGGAAACAAGACAAGTATGCTCATTCTTACCACTTCTGTTCAGCATAGCGTTGGAAGTCCTAGCCAGAGAAACAGGCAAGCAAAAATAATAAAAGTATTCAAATCAGAAACCAAGAAGTAAAATTGTCTCTGTTTGTAAATGACATGATCTTACATATAGAAAACTCTAAAGAATCAAAAACTGTTAGAGCTAATAAACAAATTCAGTAAAGTTGCAGGATACAAAATCAGCATACAAAAATAAGTCATGTTTCCGTATGTCAACAATGAGCTCTCAAGAAAAAAATTAAGAAAATAATTACGTTTTGAAAAAGCATTGAAATATTCTTAGGAATAAATTTACCAAGGTGGTAAAAGAAGTATACTCTGAAATCTACAAAGCATTAATGAAATAAATTAAATAAAATACAAATAAATGGAAAGCTATCTGTGTTCATGGATTAGGAGAATCAATATTGCTAAAATATCATTACTGTCAAAAGCAATCTACAGGTTCAATACAATCTGTACTAAAATTACAATAACATTTTTCACAAAAAAAATCCTAAAATTTGAATGGAACCACAAAAATGCCCAAATAGCCAAAGAAATATTGAATAAAAAAGAACAAAGCTAGAGGCATCACACTATTTGATTTCAAATTATACCACAGAGATATTATAAACAAAATATTATGGCACTGGCATAACAACAGCCATGTCAACCAATGGGACAGAATACAGAGCCCAGAAATAAATCCTCATACATTTGCAGTTGATTGATTTTCAACAAAGGTGCCAAGAACAAACAATAGGCAAATGATATTTTTTTTAACAAATTGTATTGAAAAAATTGAATATCCACACACAGAAGAATAAACTTGGATCCTTAGCTCATACCACATAGAAAAATCAACTCAAAATAATTTAAAGACTTAAACATAAGACCTGAAACTGTAAAGCTACTAGAAGAAAGCAGGGGAAAGTTTTTGACATCAGTCTGGACAATGATTTTTTTAATATAATCTCAAAAGCACAGTCAACAGAGTAAAAATGACAAATGAGATTGCATCAAATTGAAAAGCTTCTGCACAGTAAAAGAAACAATCAACAGAGTAAAGAGAGAACATACAAAATGGGAGAAAAATTTGCAAACCACATATATGATAAGGGATTGATATCCAAGATATATAAGGACCTCAAAAACTAAATAGTAAGAAAATAAATAACCCTATTACATATGAGGTGTATTAGGATTCTCTAGAGGGACAGAACTAATAAGATATAGATTGATAGATAGAGAGAGAGATAGATTAGATAGATATAGATGATAGATAGATAGATAGATAGATAGATAGATAGATAGATAGATATAGATAGATAGATGATAGATGTATAGGAGTTTATGAAGTATTAACTTACACGATCACAAGGTCCCACAATCGGCTGTCTGCAAGGTTGAGGAGCAAGGAGAGCCAGTTCAAGTCTGAAAACTGGAGAAATTGTAGTCCGATGTTCGAGGGCAGGAAGCATCCAGCACAGGAGAAAGGTGTAGGCTGGGAGGCTAGGCCAGTCTAGCCTTTTCACGTTTTTCTGCCTGCTTCATATTTGCTGGCAGCTGATTAGATTGTGCTCACCAGATTAAGGGTGGGTCTGTCTTCCCCAGCCCACTGACTCAAATGTTAATGTGTTTTGCAACACCCTCACAGACACACCCAGGATTGATACTTCGCATCCTTCAATCCAATCAAGTTGACAGTATTAACCATCACATAAGGCAAAGGACCTAGATAAACATTTCTCCAAAGAAGTCATACAAATGTCCAACATGTATACAAAGAAATGCTCAACATCACTAATTATCAGGGAAGTGCAAATCAAAACCACAATGAGACATTATCTCACACCTGTTAATAGCTTTAATTTAAAAAGAGAGAAATAAGTTTGGGGAGTATGCAGAGAAAGGGAAACCCTGATGCACTGTTGGGAAAAAGATAAATTGATATAGCTATTATAAAAAATAGTATATTTTTTTTCAAAAAAATAAAAATAGAATGTCTCCTGTAATCCCAGCAACTTGGGGGCCAGGGCAGGTGGATTGCTTGAGCTCAGGAGTTCAAAACCAGCCTGGGCAACATGGCGAAATCTTTTCTCTAAAAAAAATACGAACAAAATTAGTTGGGCATGATGGTGTGTGCCTATAGTCCCAGCTACTAGGGAGGCTGAGGTGGGAAGATTGCTTTAGCCTGGGAGGCTGAGGCTCAGTAAGCCGTGGTCATGTCACTGCACTCCAGCCTGGGTGACAGAGAAAGACCTTGTCTCAAAAAATAAATACAAAACGAAAATATAAAAATAGAACTACCACATGATCCAACAATCCCACTTCTGGGTATATATCCAAGGGAAATAAAATCAGAATCTCAGAGAGATATCTGTATTCCAATGACACTGCAGCATTATTCAAGATATAATATAGAACCAAGCTGAGTGTCCACTGACAGATGAATGGATAAAGAAAATGTGATACATATATATGAGATATATATACATAAAGGAATATATATAAAATGTTATATATGTAATATATATAGAAAATATTATATATAATGGAATATATATATATCACATATATATCACATTTTCTTTATCTATTCATTATATTAATATATATATAATGGAATTTATTTCAGCCTTAAAAAATAAGAACATTTTGACGTTTTTAAAAACATGGGTGCACTTTGAAGAACATTACGCTAAGTGAACTAGTCAGGTACAGATAGACAAATACTGCATGATATATATACATAAAGAAATATATATAAAATGTTATATATATGTAATATATATAGAAAACCTTATATATAATGGAATATATATCACATATATGTGATATATATAATAATATGTGATATATAATGGAAAATATATATCACATACATATCACATTTTCTTTATCCATTCATTATGTTAATATATATGATGGAATTTATTTCGGCCTTAAAAAATAAGAACATTTTGTCATTTTTAAAAACATGGGTGCACTTTGAAGAACATTATGCTAAATGAACTAGTTAGGTACAGATAGACAAATATTGCATGATATATATATATAAAGAAATATATATAAAAAGTTATATATGTAATATATATAGTAAATGTTATATATAATGGAATATATATCACATATATAATGGAATATATATATCACATTTATGTGATATCTATAATAATATGTGATATATAATGGAAAATATATATCACATACATATCACATTTTCTTTATCCATTCATTGTGTTTATATATATGATGGAATTTATTTCGGCCTTAAAAACTAAGAACATTTTGTCATTTTTAAAAACATGGGTGCACTTTGAAGAACATTACGCTAAGTGAACTTGTCAGGCACAGACAGACAAATACTGCATGATCTCACTTATGTGTGTGTGTGTTGAACTCATAGAAACATGGAGTAGAATGGTGGTTGTCAGAGAGTGGGTGCTGGGGAAAATGGGAAGATGTTGCTCAAAGGTACAAAGTTTCAGTTATGCACAATGAACAAGTTCTGTAATATAATGCACACCCTGGTAGCTGTAGTTAACACTGCATTGTATTCTTGAAATTTTCTGAGAGTAGATTTTAAATGTTCTCAACACACACCAAAAAAGTGGTAAACATGTGAGGAGAAGGATATGTTAATTAGCTTGACTGAAGTAATTATTCCACAATGTATATGTGTATCAAAACATTATATTGTATACCTTAAATATGTGCAATTTGTATTTGCCAATTATACCTCAATAAAGCTAAAAAATAACTGGGTGCCTTTGCTCGATTTACTTTACCTTTACATGCATGCGTCTGTATGGGGAACAATTAAAGATCCTTATATGCCAGGGAAAGCCTCACTGTTCTCCTGTTTTCCCAGTAACTTGTTCTTTGCTGATGTTTTTCCTCTCAAAAGGGCTCTGATTTAGTTGATTCACACACAATTTTGCCCACCTAACAAAGCGAGATTGATTTATGTGGAATGGATCTCGGAAAAAAATACAGGCTTTCTAATGCTTTTCTCTGGCTTGACTGGTGTAGCCACCCTGCCCTGCTGTAAGCAGAACTGATTGAAAATTGCAGCCTTCCTCTTTTGCAAGGTTATCACTTGGAAGCTGAATGATGGAGTGTAGAGGAGAATACATGCTCCTGGCCGACTGGTTAAATGAGTAGTGTGTGTCACTTCACTTCGGAAAATCAGTTCAGCAACTTCTCAGACGGGAGTGGGGCCTTGATCCACATCCCCACTCTTACAATGGCCACTAGAGCACTAGGAAATGGGACCAATGGGGCTACATGGGGCCATGTGAAAAATCGAACTTAGAATCATCAAACAGAATTTATTTCCCTTTCCATGTATTCTTTTCAGGTTGGATGTTTAGACTTAATATTAAATTGAACATTCAAAGCAGAAATTATGTCCATTTTTTTTTTGAAAGGGAGTCTCACTCTGTCGCCCAGGCTGGAATGCAGTGGTGTGATCTTGGCTCACTGCAAGCTCTGCCTACCGGGTTCAAGCGATTCTCTTGCCTCAGCTCCCGAGTAGAGAAGCTGGGACTACAGGCACACGCCACCATGCCCGGCTAATGTTTTTTGTATTTTCAGTAGAGACAGGGGTTCCCTGTGTTAGCCCGGATGGCCTCGATCTCCTCACCTCATGATCTGCCCACCTCGGCCACCCAAAGTGCTGGGATTACAGGCGTGAGCCACCCTGCCCGGCCACTATGTCACTTTTAAAAAGCACATTATGGCATAATGGCAAGGTCATCACTTTAAGTTAAAAAAAAAAAACCCTAGGTTCTAATTTTTAATTAATTATTTTATTACTTTAATTTGGGGAAGTTACTTAATTCCTCCAAATTTTAATTTCTTTATCTGATACTGAAGCTAATAATGCCATCATTAGGGGTGTGCTTTGGAAAGATATCTGTCTCAATCACTTGACACCTACTAGTTGTTCTATATGTGGCAATTCATTTAACTATATTTCCCATAATTGTCTAACTATGAACCTTTGCTCTTGGTATTCCGTAGATCATGATCCCTCCTAATGTATTAGTTTGCTAGGGCTGCCATAGCAAGACCTCAGACCATGTGGCATGTGGCTTAAACAATAGAAAGTTATTTTCTTACAGTTCTACAGCCTAGAATCCAGAATCAAGGTGTTGGCAGAGTTTGTTTTTCTGAGGTCTCTCTCCTTGTCCTGCGGATGCCTGCCTCTTGTAGGGTCCTCATATGGCCATTTCTCTGTGTACACACATCCTTGGTGTCCCTTCATCTTCTTGTAAGGACACCCATCATAATGAATTAAGGTCCCACTCATGACTTCATGTCACCTTAAGTCATTTTTTAAAGTACCTATTCCAAATACGGTCAAAGTGGGGGTTAGGGCTTCAACATATGATTTTGGGGGAATTCAGTCCATAACCCATGTTGGTCAAACTGCTCATATCAATAAAGATGGCTCGGCCAGGCGCGGTGGCTCACGCCTGTAATCCCAGCACTTTGGGAGGTCGAGGTGCATGGATCACAAGGTCAGGAGTTCAAGACCAGCCTGGCCAAGATGGTGAAACCCCGTCTGTACTAAAAATACAAAAATTAGCAGGGTGCAGTGGCAGGCACCTGTAATCCCGGCTACTTGGGAGGCTGAGACAGGAGAATCGCTTGAACTCGGTGGTGGGGAGGTTGCAGTGAGCCAAGATCACGCCACTGTACTCCAGCCTGGGCGACAGGGTGAGACTGTCTCAAAAAAAAGGATGGCTCAACTTTCACTTTTAGAGATTCTTCCACATGTTCCTGAATAACATCTGACCTTGAGACAGAGCTTATTTCTAGTTCTAGTTTATTATTAATGCCCTGTTTCCAAGGCTCTTTTGGTTAATATGGCCTTAGTCTGTATACTCTTAAAAAAATTTAGGTGATTGATTGAAACCAGTGGATTAAAAACTGTTCCCCATGTCCAAGGCAATGAAATACCATTTGGATGCTATTAGTGACACTGTCTTCTTTAACAAATGTACAGGTTATTTTTACTTTCTCAGGGAATTTTTGATGAACATGAAATATTCATAGAGGACAGACAATATTTAAATGACATCGTTAAATAATTAAAAATGTGAAGATCTCCACTGGGGATTACCACATTAAGGCTGAGAATACATTGTCATTACCACACTCAATTTCTGAGATTTTGGAATAAAAGGAACTTCTGAATAATTTCTCTATGCTATTATTAAGGGAATGGAAATTTACCTTTAGAGATACTTAAACTTTGCATTTAATTTTCAGCAAAATTATAATTAAAATATTCTTGAATAAATTTAGAAACTTAAAAATCAAGTGCACTATGTAACCAATAAGGAATACACCAAAGGTTAGCACTTCCAAATATTAGTATGTCTAAAGCTACAAAAAAAGCCTTTGCGTATCCAAAGGACTGAGTTTAATCTCAGCCATGATACTTGCTGTCAGACACATATTCTATTTGTTTCTTTTTTTAACTAATGCAGAACTGGTTTATGGCTATGTCTGCTTGTGCATAGCAAGGTAACAGAAAGGAAGATGGCAAGAAAATATTTTTGAGAACTTGTTTATCTAAGTAGTCTCAATAAGTGTATGAAGTAGACATAACTTTATTTTACTGTTTAAGAAACTGAAGTTAGAAATGATTAAGTGAATTTCCTATGGTCACACAAATAGTCAATGGCAAAGACAGTTATTTAAACCCAAACCTAATCATAAGTTTTATTACCTTTTCTGAAAATAATGATATCATATCATGATTTCTTCTGAGGTTGCTGTAAAGTTGGTTAAAACAATGGAAGTTAAGGTACTCTGAAAATTATATAGACATTCACAAATGAGTTTTGTATTACTATTTATTATTTCCAAAATATTGCAGGTATTTTTCTAACCATTTATTGACTACAAGCATCAAACTTACAATACATTTTAAGTATAAGTTAATCATTAAGTATAAATTTCCATTGTTTTGCAAGCTATCATCAATGTCAAGAAAAAGGGAATAGGGGCCGGGAGCAGTGGCTCACGCCTGTAATCCCAACACTCTGGGAGGCCAAGGTGGGTGGATCACTTGAGGTCAGGAGTTCAAGACCAGCCTGACAAACATGGTGAAACCCCATCTCTACTAAAAAAAACAAAAAAACAAAAAACCACAAAATTAACCAGGCGTGGTGGCACACGCCTATAATCCCAGCTAGTTGGGAGGCAGAAGCAAGAAAAATTGCTTGAACCTGGGAGACTGAGGTTGCAGTGAGCCGAGATCGCACCATTGCACTCCAGCCTGGGCAACAAGAGGGAAACTCCGTCTCAAAAAAAAAGGGAATAGGAACATAGAACCATTAATATAAGTGAAATGAATGGTGTTTATTAATAGTTTGATGCGTACTCAGCAATATGCTTAAGGCTGTGAAGGATCGCAAAAGCTACTTAAACAATATATAATATGCACTTTCTCCCTTTTAAACTTAAACTATAAATAAAACATTCTGAAATATAATTGTTATAATATAAAAGGAACAGCAACAACATTTATCATGTGGCAGGAAATACTCTAAGCACAGCCTGTCTGACCTTACACATATATACACAACCATAAAGTCATAGGAAAAAACTTTCCTGACTGCTTCAATTTCCTACCAACCACTTTTCCTTTCAAAATTGTATCATTGTGTTCCACATCAACAAATCCAGCAGCTTTGCTCCTCATTGCTCTCTGAAATATTAATTACTGAGAACTTCATTTTTGAAATTTCGACCTCTTTTGAATGTCATGACATAACATCATCTGAGCTTTCTCCCATCTCTTTGATACTGTCTGTTCCCATTTTATCCCCTTTCTTTTTCATTTAACCTAGTGTGTAGACATACACCAAGAATCTGTTTTAACATAATCCAGCCACTTCTATGATTTCAGTTAGTATCTCCTCAGGTAAAGTGAAGAGTTTTAAAGGCAAATGAAGACAATATAGTGATATACTCTTTTATCAAATATTTATTGCACATTTACTATTTGATAGTTCCTGTTTTATATGATGGTAACACAACAACAAAAATGAGCAGAAATGCATGCACTCATAGAATCTTATTTCTTAGTGATGAAAGGGAAAATGAGCTTCTTCTCTGAAAAGATAATTTTTCTAGTAAAAAGAAAAACAAAAAAGAAGGGTAATAAAAATCTTATGGCAGAGGAAAACAGGTATTAAAATTGTGCATTTAAAAATTTCAAAAATGATCATTTCAGCTTACATTTTTCAATGCCATGCTCATAAAAAGCAAAAAAAATGGATTTTAAAGTATTAAGACACAAGTAAAAGAAAATTCAATGAAACAGTGACTTAATCCAGTCTAGTAGGACTTTTTTTATTTCTTACATAAAAAAACACATAAATACTCCTGATCTTGCAGGAAAAGGCTTCAACTTTTCCCCATTCAGTATGATGTTAGCTGTGAATTTGTCATATATGGCCTTTGTTGTTTTGAGGTATATACATTATATGCCTAATTTGTTAAAAAGAGATGTGAAATGTTGTCAAATACTTTTTCTGTGTCTATTGAAATGATCATATAGCTTTCATTTCTCTCTTTTTTTAATGTAGTGTATTGCTAGAATTGTACGTTAGTATAGCCAGAATATGGAAACCAGTAGGCAAGTTGCTCAAAAAATTAAAAAGAGAACTACCATATAATCCAACAATCACATTACTGGGTATATATGCAAAGAAAATGAAAACAGTATGTCGAATTACAGAACTATTTGCATTATTTGCACTATTTATAATAGCCAAGACATGGAATCAACCCAAGTGTTCAGCAACAGATGAATGGATAAAGAAAATATGGTACATGCAATGAAATTCTATTCATTCATATAAAATGGAATCCTGTCAATTGAGACAACATGGATGGACCTGGATGACATCACATTAAGTGTAGTAAGCCAGACACAGAAAGACAAACACTACATGATCTCATTCATATGCTGAACCTAAAAAACTCTTTAAATAGTTAATATCATGAGAGCAGAGAGTAAAACAGTGGTTACTAGAGACTGGGGAGAGGAAGGAGGGCAGGGAGAGTTCAGTCAACTTGAATGAAGCTATGATTACATAAGAAGAATAAGTTCTGGTGTTCTATTGTACAGTAGGACAATGATGGTTAACAGTAAGGTATTCTACATTACAAAATAGCCAGAAGAGAAGTTTTTGAATGTTCTCATCACGAAAAAACGATAAATACATGAGGTGATAAATATGCCCTGATTTGATCATTCTACAATATACATGTGTCAAAACATCCAATTGTATCCCTTAAACATGTATAATTATAATGTGTTAACTAAAAATAAATTGTTTTATATATTATATAAATGAACTTTATATATATATATATATATATATATATATATATATACACACACACACACACACACACACACATTTGAGAAACAAAAATTTCTGAGATACACAGATAAAGACACATTTACTGGCTAACACTATCAGGGACTTAGATATTGTCTGTATTTTCATTCATTCATTTTTACCATTGCAAGGGTATATACTATCAGCATGTTTTATGATGGTTGATGTTGACTTCCATCATCTGGCTGAAGTAGTGTTATCATTTGTCTGCACCATAAAGTTACTTTAGTTTCCCCCTTTCCCATACTGTACTCTTTGGAAAAAAGTCACTATGCACAGTCCATATTTAAAGAGTTGGGATTTAGCTCCCTCTTCCTGAGTGCGGAGAACCTACATAATTTATTTAGAATTATTCTGCACAGATTTGTTGACACATTTCAATGTGTTTTTTTGTTTGTTTATTTATTTAAGCACTTCTATATTTTCTTGTACTACAAGATGCTCCAGGCTCAGATTGTACATTGCCTATCCTAGTCAAAGAATCAGATATTTCTCTAACAAGCCCTGGGTCCTTTCACTAGTGCATAGTGTTAGAAACAAGATCTGTGTTCTAGAAATGATCATTGCTACTGAGGTGTAATTTCTTTTAGGACCCCCTCAGCAGACAGTACAAATAAATGCACGTCATACTAACCCATGTATATATACATATTTAAAAATATTTCTATATCTAAATATACACATTTATATGACGGTGAACATCAGTTCTTAGCAATGTCTCTAGGTCTAACCTATTACCACATGTGTTATTCTAGCTTCCCCCTCCCACTGTGTGCAAATTCCCACTCTTACAGTGAGAAGTCTGGCTCCCAGCATTCACCATGTATTTACTTAATTGTTCAATTCCAGTATACGCATAGAGAAATATCAGAATTCTTAACCCCTATACCCAAGGAAAGTAACTTTATCAGCCACAGTACAGTAACGATGTGTAATTCCTTTGGCCTTTGTGATTACAGGCCATAATGTTTAATTTTCTATGTCAATTTGGCAGGGCCACAGTACCCAGCTATGTGATTAAATGTTATTTCTGTGTATGTCTGAAAGGGTGCTTCTGGAAGGCATTAGCATTTGAATTGGGGGACACTGTCAAGGAGATTGCCATCTCCAATGTGGGTGGGCATCATCCAACCTCTTGAGAGCTCAAAAAAAAAAAAAAAGATAAAACCAATTCAATTTTCCTTTTTTGCCAGACTCATTGAGCTAAGATATTGGCCCCTGTCCTTGGACTGGGGCTTACACCATTGACACTCCTGATTCAAAGGCCTTCAGACTCTAAATGGAATTTACACCACTGGCTTTCCTGGGTCTTGAGCTTATATACAGCAGATTGTGGGATTTCTCAGCCTCATGTGAGCAAATAGCTTATAATAAATCTCAGTGCAAAAATCCTCAACAAAACACTGGCAAACTAAATCCAGCAGCACATCAAAAAGTTTACCCACCACAATCAAGTTGTATTCATCCCCACGAAGCAAGATTGGTTCAACATATGCATATCAATAAATGTGATTTATCACATAAACAGGAACAATGACAAAAACCACGATTACCTCAATAGATTCAGAAAAGGCTTTCGATAAAATTCAATATCACTTCATGTTAAAAACTCTCAATAAACTAAGTATTAAAGGACTATATCTTAAGATAATGAGAGCCATATATGCCAAATCCACAGCCAGTATCATACTGAATGGGCAAAAGCTAGAAGCATTCCCCCTGAAAACCGTCACAAGACAAGGTTGCCCTCTCTCACCACTCTTATTCTTTTTTTTTTTTAAGTTTTGAGATTTTTTTTTATTATTATACTTTAAGTTCTAAGGTACATGTGCACAACGTGCAGGTTTGTTACATATGTATACATGTGCCATGTTGGTGTGCTGCACCCATTAACTCGTCATTTACATTAGTTATATCTCCTAATGCTATCCCGTCCCCCTCCCCCCACCCCAAGACAGGCCCCAGTGTGTGGTGTTCTCCACCCTGTGTCCAAGTGTTCTCATTGCTCAATTCCCACCTATGAGTGAGAACATGCAGTGTTGGGTTTTCTGTCCTTGCAATAGTTTGCTGAGAATGATGGCTTCCAGTTTCATCCATGTCCCTACAAAGGACATGAACTCATCCTTTTTTTATGGCTGCATAGTATTCCATGGTGTATATGTGCCACATTTTCTTAATCCAGTCTATCATCGATAGACATTTGGGTTGGTTCCAAGTCTTTGCTATTGTGAATAGTGCTGCAATAAACATACGTGTGCACATGTCTTTATAGCAGCAGGATTTATAATCCTTTGGGTATATACCCAGTAATGGGATGGCCGGGTCAAATGGTATTTCTAGTTCTAGATCCTTGAGGAATCACCACACTGTCTTCCACAATGGTTGAACTAGTTTACAGTCCCACAAACAGTGTAAAAGTGTTCCTATTTCTCCACATCCTCTCTAGCACCTGTTGTTTCCTGACTTTTTAATGATCGCCATTCTAACTGGTGTGAGATGGTATCTCATTGTGGTTTTGATTTGCATTTCTCTGATGGCCAGTGATGATGAGCATTTTTTCATGTGTCTCTTGGCTGCATAAATGTCTTCTTTTGAGAAGTGTCTGTTCATATCCTTTGCCCACTTGAGGGGGTTGTTTGATTTTTTTCTTGTAAATATGTCTGAGTTCTTTGTAGATTGTGGATATTAGCCCTTTGTCAGATGGCTAGATTGCAAAAATTTTCTCCCATTCGGTAGGTTGCCTGTTCATTCTGATGGTAGTTTCTTTTGCTGTGCAGAAGCTCTTTAGTTTAATTAGATCCTATTTCTCAATTTTGGCTTTTGTTGCCATTGCTTTTGGTGTTTTAGGCATGAAGTCCTTGCCCATGCCTGTGTCCTGAATGGTATTGCCTAGGTTTTCTTCTAGGGTTCTTATGGTTTTAGGTCTGACATTTATGTCTTTAATCCATCCTGAATTAATTTTTGTACACTCCTATTCAACATAGTATTGCAAGTTCTGGCCAGGGCAATCAGGCAAGAGAAAGAAAGAAAGCGTATTCAAATAGGAAGAGAGGAAGTCAAATCATCTTTGCAGATGACATGATCTTACATCTAGAAAACCCCATCGTTTCAGTCCAAAAACTTATTAAGGTGAGAAGCAACTTCAGCAAAGTCTCAGGATATAAAATCAATGCGCAAAAATTGCTAGCATTTCTATAGGATTTCTCTGCTTGCCAACAACAGGCAAGCAGAGAGCCAAATCATGAATGAACTCCTACTCATAATTGCTACAAAAAAGAATAAAATACCTAGGAATACAGCTAACAAGTGAAGTGAAGGACCTCTTCAAGGAGAGCTATAAGAAATCAGAGAGGACACAAACAAATGGAAAACACCTTATGCTCATGGATAGGAAGAATCAATATTGTTAAAATGGCCATACTGCCCAAAGTAATTTATAAATTCAATGCTATTCTCATTAGACTATCATTGGCATTCTTTACAGAATGAAAAAGAAATAAAAATAATAAAAAATAAACTATTTTAAAATTCATATGGAACCATAAAAGAGCCCAAATAGCCAAGACAATTCTAAGCAAAAAGAAGACAGCTGGAGGCATCACACTACCCAACTTCAGACTATACTACAAGACTAACCAAAACAGCATGGTACTGGTACAAAAACAGACACATAGACCAATGGAACAGAATAGAGAACTCAGAAGTAAAACCGCACACCTGATCTTCAACAAACTTGATGAAAACAAGCAATTGGGAAAGGATTCCTTAATAAATTGTGCTGGGAGAACTGGCTAGCCATATGCAGAAAATTGAAACTGGACCCCTTCCTTATACCTGATACAAAAATTAACACAAGATGGATTAAAGACTTAAATGTAAAGCCCAAAACTATAAAATCCCTAGAAGAAAATCTAGGCCATACCATTCAGGACATAGGCACAGGCAAAGATTTCATGAAAAAATGTCAAAAGCAATTGCAATAAAAACAAAAATTGATAAATGGGATCTAATTAAATGAAAGAGCTTCTGCACAGCAAAAGAAACTATGATCAGAGTGAACAGACAACCTAAAGAATGGGGGAATATTTTTGCCATCTATACTTCTGCCAAATGTCTAATACCCAGAGTCTGCAAGGAACTTAGGCAAATTTTCAAGAAAAAAACAAACAACTCCATTAAAAAGTGGGTAAAGGACATGAACAGATGCTTCTCAAAAGAAGACATACATGTGGTTAATAAACATATGGAAAAAAGCTCATCATCACTGTTCATTAGAGAAATGCAAGTCAAAACCATAATGAGATATAATCTTATACCTGTCAGAATAGCTATTACCAAAAAGTCAAAAAACAACAGATGCTGTCAAGCTTGCAGAGAAAAAAAGAACACTTTTACACAGTTGGTGGGAGTGTAAATTAGTTTAACCATTATAGAACACAGTGTGGAGATTCCTTAAAGACCTAGAGACAGAAATACCATTTGACCTGACTACTGGGTATATAGCCAAAGAATTAGAATTCATTCTGTTATAAAAATGCATGCACATATATGTTAATTGAAATACTATTCACAAAAGTTAAGACATGAAATCAACCTAAATGTCTATCAATGGTAGACTAGATAAAGAAAATGTGGTACATATATAGCATGGGAATACTATGCAGCCTTAAAAAAGAACAAGATCATCCCATTTGCAGGGACATGATTGGAATTGGAAGCCATTATCCTCAGCAAACTAATGCAGAACAGAAAACCAAATACTGCCTGTTCTCACTTATAAGTGGAAGTTGAATGATGAGAACACATGAATACATGGAGGGAGGGAACAACACGCACTGGAGCCTGCCAAAGTGGGGATGGTGAGGGGAGGGAGAGCATCAGGAAGAATAGCTAATGGACACTGGGCTTAATACGTAGGTGATAGGATGATCTGAGTAGCAAACCACCATGGCACACATTTACCTATGTAACAAACCTGCACATCCTGCACATATATTCCTGAACCTAAAACAAAAGTGGAAGAAAAAAAAAGTATAACAAAGTATAGTTTCACCACCCAAAAGCTCCCTGTTGTTTACCTACTCATCCCTTGTCCTGGACTCTGAAACTCTGATCTTCTTACTGTACCCAAAGTTTCGCCTTTTTCAGGATGTCATATAATTGAAATCATACAATACGTAGCCTTTTCAAATTTGTTTCATTCAAGTAGAGATGTGCTTTGAGCTTCCTCCATGTCTTTTAGGCTTGGTAGCTCATTAATTTTTATTGTTGAATAATATTTCATCATAGGGACATGCTACAGTTTGTTAATCTATTTACCCATTGAAAAACTTCTTGGCTGCTTCTAGTTTTAGGCAATTACATAAAAGTTGCAACAAGCAATCATGTGCAGGTTTTGTGTGTTTGTGTAGAATTCACTTAGAATACCTAGGAGCAAAACTACTAGGACATATGATAAGACTATGTTTAGCATTGCAAAGAACTGCCTAACCATTGTGCATAGTTGTCTTACTGTGATTGTATCATATTGCATTCCCACCAGCAATAAATTAGTTTCTGTTGCTCCACATTCTGGTGCATATTTGGTGCTTCCCCTGCTTAGGATTTTAGCCATTCTAATAAATGTATACTAGTATCTCCTTTTTATTTTAATTGGAAATTCTCAAATGAATTATGATATTGAACATAGTTTCATATACATTTGCCACTGTATATCTTCTTTCGAGAGGTGTCTATTCAGATCCTTTGCTCATTTTTAAATTGCATTATTTTATTATTCTTGAGTTTTAAGACTTCTTTGTATATCTTTAACACAAATCCTATATCAGATATGTGTTTTCCAAATAATTCCTCCAAGTCTATGGCTTGCTTTTCATTATCTTAAGTCTTTTTTACAGAGCAAAAGTTTTAATATTAATAAACTTCAAGTTATAAATTTTTTCATAGATTGTACTTTTGATGTTGTACCAAATCCAAAGTCATCTAGATTTTCTCTTTAGTTTTCTTCTAGACATTTTCCAGTTTTGTATTATATATTTAAGTCTATGATCCAATTTGGGTTAATATTTGTGAAAAATATAAGTTCTATTTCTACATTCATCCTTTTACATATGGACATCCAATTGTTACAGCACCATTTGCTGAAAAGAGGATCCTTTCTTCAAGAATTGCTTTCGTTTCTTTTTCAAAGTTCAATTGGCTATTTTTGTATGGGTTAATTTCTAGAATCTCTATTCTGTTTTTTTTAAATATATATATATTTTGCTAATATCATGTTGGCTTAATGACTGTATCTTTAATAGTAAGTCTAGAATTTGGCTATTATCAGTCCTCCAATTTCTTCTTCTTTAGTATTTAGTTGGCCATTTTGAGGCTTGGCTTTCAAAATAAATTTTAGAATCATTTGATTGATATCCACAAAATAGCTTGCTAAAATATTAACAGGGATTACACTGAATGTACAGATCAAGGCGCAAGATTTGAAATCTTTTTATTTTTGAGACACGGTCTTGCTCTGTTGCCCAGGCTGGAGTGCAGTGGCATAATTTTGCTTCACTGCAACCTCTGCCTCCCAGGTTCAAGTGATTCTCATGTCTCAGCTTCCCAAGTAGCTGGGATTACAGGCATGCAACACCACTCCCAAATAATTTTTGTGTTTTTAGTAGAGATGGGGTTTCACAATGTTGCTCAGGTTGGTCTCAAACTTCTGGCCTCAAGTGATCCACCTACCTTGGCTTCCCAAGGTTGTGGGATTATAGGAATGAGCCACTGCACCCGGTCATACTTTGAAATCTTAACATTGATTATATTTCAATCCATGTGCATAAAATCTGCTACATTAACTGATACCATTTTTTATATCTTTCATCAGAGAGTTTTTGTCATAGGGATCCTGCACCTATTTTTATAGCTTTATACCTAAGTATTTTATTATTTTGGCATTATTATAAATGGTATTTATTTTTTCATTATAATTTCTATTTCTTTTATTGGTGGCATATAAAAATCAACTGAATGTGGTATATTAATTTTGTATTCTGTGACATAATTACTGCTTAATATTTCTAAGATTTTTAAAATTCTGTCAGAATTTCTATATAAACAATCATGTCATCTACAAACAAAGTTAGTTTTAGTTTTTTCTTAATCTACTCCTTTTAATTTCCTCTTCTTATCTTGTTGCACTAGTTAACACTTCCATTTTAATGTTGAATAAAAGTTGTTAGAGGGCACAACTTTGCTGGTTGCTGATCATAGCAAGTATTCCTGTTACTTACAGTTAAGTATGATATCAGTTGTAGAGTTTTTCCAGATGTTCTTTATCAAGTTGGATAAGTTCCCATGTATTTCTAATTTTCTGAGAATTGTTATGAATGAGTATCGGATTTTGTCAAGTGTTTTTTCTACATCAATTGATATATTTGCAATATTTTTCTTCTTTAGCCTTGTCAATACAGTGTATTACACTAATCAGTTTTTCCAACATTAAGCCAACATTGCATATGTGGTGTATTACTCAGCTTAGGATGCCTTAACAAAATATCATAGACTGAATATCTTAAGCAACAGAAATTTATTTCTCACAGCTTTGGAGGCTGGAGAGTCCAAGATCAAGATGCTGGCCAATTCAGTTGCTGGTGAGGGCTCTTTTCCTGACTTGCAGATGTCCTGACATTGTCTTTCATTGGTTGCATGCATGGAGAGAGAGAGAAAGATACCAAGAAAGAGAAATATTTCTTCCTTCCTCTTCCTATAAGGCCACTAACTGCATTATAAGAGCCCCACCCTCATAACCTAATCTAATCCTAATTGTTTTCCAGATGCCCCATCTGCAGATATCATGACATTGGGGTTTAGGGATTCAATATATGAATTTTTGGGGAACACAAATTTTCAGTCCATAACATCTGAAATAAATCCCACGTTTTCATGGTACATATTTCGTTTTATACATTGCTAGATTTATTTGCTATTACTTTCCTGAGGATTTTTGCATCTACGATCACAACAGTTATCATTTTGTAGTTTTCCTTTCTCATAACATCTTAATTCAGTTTTAGTATTAGGGTTATTCTGTTCTTACAGAATGAATTAAGCAACAGTCCTTCTAATTTTATTTTCTGGAAAAGACTGCAAAAATTTGTTATGTCTTCTTTCTTAATTTTTGGTAGAATTCAAAAGCAAAACCATCTAAACCTGCTTCTTTCTTTTTTGGAAGTTTATTAAATATAATTTATTATAAGTTTATTAAATATTAATTTAATATTTAATAAATTTAATCATCTTAATAGATACAATTTTATTCAGATTATTTCTCCTTCTCTGAGGTGGCAGTTTGTGTCTTTCAAGGAATCGATTCATTCATCTAAGTTCTCAAATTTAGCAGTATATAATTATTGAAAATATATTTTTAAATTTTCCTTTTGATGTTTCTGATATAAATTTTAATGATACCTCTTTAATTTCTGATATTGGAAATGTGCATCATTTTCTTTTCCTTGGCTAGCCTTCCTCGAAGTTTATGAATTTATTGATCTTTTCAAATAATTATTTCTGGTATTGTTGTTTTTTTAATTAATAATTTATTTTCAATGTAATTAATTTCCACTCTAATTTGTATTTTTCTTTTATTGTTTGCTTTATGATTAAATTCCACTTTTTTTCCCTTCAGTTTTCTAAAAGTAGAAGCCTAGATGATAGGTTTTATATCTTCATTTTAATACTTACATATGTATTAAGTACATTTATATGTATTTTAATATTTACTGCTATTTTAATACATAGATATTAAAATAAGGATATAAACCAATAATTTAATAAATATTTAATACATATATGATATATATCTAATATATAATACATATATGTAATATATCTAATATACATAATATTTAATATATATAATATGTATCTAATATCTATTTAATATATGTAATATATATCTTATATATAATATAATAATACATGTAATATATATGTAATGTATATAATCTAATATATATTTAATACATATATATGATTTTAATACTACACACATACACGCACACACACACAATTGGATACTATAAGTTTTCCCTTAAGCACTGATTTCACAGAAACCCAAATTTTTTAAAGTTGTATTTCACTTTTTATTTCAGTAAATTTTAAACTTCTTGTAAGATCTTTTTTTTGTTTCATGTATCAAAGAAGTATATTGTTTAATTTTCAGATACTTGGGGATTTTCCAGCTATCATCTGTTATTGACATCAACCTCAATTCTCTTGTGGTCTGAGAATATATTTGACATTATTTCTATTTTTTAAACTTTTCCCAGGTGAGTTTTATGGCCCAGAATGTGATCTATCTTACTTCCCTGTGAGCTTGAAGAGACTGTGTATTCTACTGGTGGAGACTGTTATTCACTAAATGTCATTTAGATCAAGTGGATTGATAGTACTGTTCCAGTAATCTTTTTTAAAATTTTCTATTGTTATTTATTTAGTCTTTAGAGATAGGAACTCACTGAGTTAGTCAGTCTGGCTCAAATTCCTGGGCTCAATAGATCCTCCCACTTCAGCCTCACTGTCAAAATATTCCACAATGATCCTCCAAAAACTAGTCAAATTACCATTCCATTGATTCTACTGGATAATGAAATAAACTCATGTACTTATGAGTTAATGGCTCCAGCAGCTTCTGCGGGTAGGTGGATCTCAGGTGTGATTTGCTAAATTTGACTGTGTTTCCACACTTAAGGTGATTGTTCGACCTGTTCCTTGAAATCACTGATGCCATTAATAAAAGTCATTGATTTTCAATTTATTCAGGTTTTTCTTGTTGGAAGAAGTGGGGTGATGACTTCCAAGATCTTTACATGTAAGAGTTGATACCAGACATAAGGCCACGTATTTTTGGGCTACAGGCATGCACCACTATACCCTGTTTAGGTTAACTAAATCCTTACTGATTTTCTGCCTGCTTGATCTATAAATTACTGAAGAGGGATGTTAAGATCATCAACTCTAATAGTGAATTTGTCTCCTTTTCCTTGTAGTTCCGTTAGTGTTTGCCTTACATGTTTTGATGGTCTGCTGTCAGGTACATACATGTTAAATATATTTTCTTGGAATTTCTGCCTTCTTTGGTTTTAATTGAGCTTTCATATGATTCCATCTTATCTCCACTGTTAGCATGTATTTTACTTCCTTCAAAAAAGTTAGTGGTTACTTAGAGTTTTAATGTACCTTTGCAACTAATCTAAGTCCACCTTCAAATAACACTATATGGTTTCACAGGTAGTACAGGTATCTCACAACCAAGTATTACCAATTTCTCCCTCTTGTCCATTATAACATTACTGTCCTTTACATCATTATCCATATACACTAATTATCCATTGTGTTGTTGCTATTACTACTTTAAATGAAGAGTTTTCTTAGATGTCTTAAGAATAAGAAACATAAAAGATTTTTTAATTTTAACTTTATTTTTTTCTCTGGCACCCTTTTATCATGTGATCTGATTTTGTGACTTACCTTTATTCTCTTTGAAGATCTACTTTCAATATTTCTTGCAGCGTAGTTCTCCAGGTGCTGGATTTCCTCAGATTTTATTTATCTAAGAAAGTCTTTTTATTTCTTCCTAGCTTTTTTTCCAATTGTTTTTATTGTGGTAAAAATGCACATAACATAAAATTTATTATCTTAACTATTTCCAAGTATATAGTTCAGAGGTATTAAGTACATTCACATTGTACAACCATCACCACCATCCATCTAATTTTTACTTGATATTGAATTCTAGTTTTGTGGTAATTTTCTTTCATCACTTTAAATATTTCACTCAACTATTCTTGCTTGCACAATGTCTGGTATAACTGTTAGCCTTAATCTGTAGGTATAAAGTTTTGGTTCTTTGTTCACTTGATTTTTTCTTTCTGGCTTCTTTCATAATTTTGTCTTTATCTTTGGTCTTCTGCAGTTTGAATATGTCATGCCTAGATTTTTGGTATTTATCCTGATCGGTGCTACCTGAGCTTCCTGAATCTGTAATTAGTTGTCCATCATTGACTTTGAAAAAGCTTGGCTATTACTATCTCAAATATTTCTTTGGTTCCTTTCTCTTATTTTTCCCTTTCAGGTGTTTAAATTATGCATATGTTGCACATTTCATGATTGTCCCACAGTTTTTGGATATTATGTTCTGGTTTTTTTTACATTCTTTTTCTTCTCTTTGCATTTTAGTTTGGAAAGTTTCTATTGACATGTTCAAACTCACTGATTATTTTCTTGGCTGTGTCTAGTCTACAGGAAATTTATTCAAAGGTACTCTCCAATTCTGTTGAAGCACATTTTTTTTCTAGCATTTTCTTTTGATTCTCAGTTTCCTTCTCTCTGAATGTATTACCCATCTGTCCTTCAATATTGTCCACTCTTCCATTAGATTCTTTAACATATTAATCATAGTTATTTTAAATTCCTATAGGATAATAGAAAAATATGTGTTATATATTAGTCTGGTTCTGATGCTTACGTGTTTCTTTAGGCTGTCTTTTCCTGCCTTTTATCATACCTTGTAATTTTTTGTTGAAAGACATAATATATTGTGTAATAGGAACTGATGTAAATATTCCTATAGTGTGAGGTTTTATGTTAATTTAACTAAGTGCTGGGCTGTGTTTAATGTTTGCTGAAGCTGTCAGTTCCAGAAGCTCTGGTTTCTTGGAGTGTCATTTTTTCTTTCTTTCTTTCTTTCTTTATTGTTATCTTTGGAGTTCCCTAAGAATACCTTTGAAATAGTCTATACATTACAGCTCTTTCTTTTTTAATATGCTGTTGTTATAATGGCACTCCGTTGCTGTGGTTATAAAGTATGAAGTTGGAGAAGTGTTCTATAATCTTATAATTAAGTATCAGGCTTTTAGTAGTCTAAGTTCCTGGCCAGTGACCTTCAAAAGTGTTTTTCAGCAGTTTTTTCTTTCCTTAGATGAGACCAAAAAACTGGGGATACTCAAGTTGGCTATTTGCCCTTCTCCCATAGCAGATCAGGCTCTCGTAAAGCCATTTTTGTTGTTGTCGTTGACTACGCATTTTTAACAGGAAAAGTTTTGGGGATATCTCAAAATGGTTATTACTTTTACACCCCTTCAACCCATGATCTTTACTGCAAGAGCCTGGTACTATTCCTGGAGGTAAAATCCATGAAAATGTGAGACTTCCCTAACACTAGGTTTCAAGGAATTTCTCACTGTCAAAATATTCCACATTGATCCTCCAAAAAGTAGTCAAATTACCATTTCAGTCTTTCTACTGGATAATGAAATAAACTGGTGTCCCTATCAGTTAATGGCTCCAGTAGCTTCTGCACCAGGTAGGTGGATCCCAGCTGTGATTTGATAAATTTGACTGTCTTTCCACACTTAAGGGGATAGTTTGCCCTGTTACTTGAAATCACTGATGCCTTTAATAAAAGTCATTGATTTTCAATTTGTTCAGGTTTTTCTTGTTGGAAGAAGGGGGGGTGATGACTTCCAAGATCTTTAAATGTAAGAATTAAAATCAGAAATAAGGCCACATATTTTTATTATTCCTATTATTCAGATAAGGCCTTAATTGAAAATCGAAATCTATCTTTTCAAGTGCATGTTCTTACATTGGTTAAAAACTACCCTCATTAAGCTACTTAGTCTATTGGTTCTTTGATCTATTAAATGACTTACAGTTTTTGAAAAATAGAAGGCACTGAAGGAATGATAAGTAAATAAAGAAAAAAAGAATTAGGGAATATTGTTAGATTAGAAAAAATCTGAGGTGAATATAAAGTTCTGAGGCCTGTTGATTCAAGGCTTAATATGTAGTCTAGCCAAATAAAGGTACATGTTGATGTAGAATCCATTACTTTGTATAGAATAAAAAAGAACAGATTTTTATCAGAATTGTCTTGGAATAATTCAAGTTGTCAGGATAGAGTGTCCAAAGTCAAACTGGAAAGTTGGAATTTATATAGATATATATATATAATATATTTTACTATCTGGAACTGAAGCTATCAGTTCCAGAAGCTTTTGTTTCTTCGAGTGTCATTTTTTTCTTTCTTTCATAAATATAATATACATTATATTTAATATATAATTTATATTTACATTATATTTAATATATAATTTATATTTACATTATATATTGAGAATATATAGTATTATATAATTTTCATATATAAAATAATATATATACATTATAGCCACACATACACAAATATAATCCTTGTTATGGGTCGAATTGTGTCCCAGATAAAGATATGCCAAATCCCTAGCCCCCAGTACCTGTGAATATGACTTTATTTGGAAATAGGATATTTTCATATATAATCAAGTTAAGATGAGGTCATTAAGGTGGGCCTATACGCCACTTAACTCGTGTCCTTATAAAAAGAAGGAATTTGGACCCTGAGAAAAACTCACAGAGTAGGGAGATGACACAGAGACACACAGGAAGAAGGCAGTCATATGATGATCTAATCCAGAGAGATTGGAGTCAATCTGCTTCAAGCTAAGGAACACATGGCACTAGCAGAAGCCAGAAGACACAAGGAATGATGCTCCTCTAGAAACTTCAGAGGGTGCATAGCCCTGCCAACACACTGATTTTGGATAGCCAGCATCCAGAATTATAAGAGTAAATTTCTGTTGTTTCAAGAGACCCAGTATGAGGTACTTGGCTACAGCAGTCCTAGGAAACTAATATAAACCTTCTGGGTTTGTGCAGGTTAGGCAAATGGCTTTTACTGAAGATGTTTTTGTTGTTGTTTCTGATGAGTTAAGTAAATAAATAAGAAATGGCAACCTTGCTGAGAGCCCAAATTTCCAAATATCAATATGCACAGAAGTCTCACGTGTTTCTAAAAGTTAACTTTCTTTAGTATACTCTGGTATTCAATAAAATGCATTGAGATTTCAATGTAAGTATGCAAAATCCACCCTTTCTGCACTTCCTAATATCCATACGAAGTCACTAGTGACTGTGACATATGCGGTTCTTTAATTTGTATCAACAAACTTATATTGAACACCTACTATGTGTTAGCTACTGTTAAATGCTTTAGATAGAAAGCACAGTCTATTATGTTTAAGCACCTAAAAGTCTCCTGAAAGTAATATTAATTAATTGATTCATTGATATTTTGAGAAGAATAGCTTTACATCTATAAATTGCTTTGGGCAGTATAGCCATTTTAACTATATTGATTCTTCCAATCCATGAACATGGAATATTTTTCCATTTACTTGTGTCGTCTCTGATTTCTTTTGCAGTGTTTTGTACTTTTCCTTGTAGAGATCTTTCCCTTCCTTGGTTAGATGAATTCCTAAGTATTTCATTTTCTTTGTAGCTATTGTAAATGGGATTATGTTCTTGATTTAGTTTTCAGCTAGAACACTATTTGTATATAAAAATGTTACTAATTTTTGTACATTGATTTTATATCCCAAAACTCTCCTGAATTCATTTATCAGTTCTAAGACCCTCTTGGAAGAGTTTTTAGGGTTTTCTATCTGTAGAATCATTTCACACAGAATTAAAAAAAACTATATTGAATTCATTTGGGACCAAAAAAAGAGCTCAAATAGCCAAAACAATCCTAAGCAAAAAGAACAGAGCTGCAGGTGTCATATTACCCAACCTTCAAACTATACTATAAGCCTACAGTAATCAAAATAGCATTGTTCTGGCACAAAAACAGACACATAGATTAGCGGAACAAAATAGAGAGCCCAGAAATAAACTCACACCTACAACCACCTGATTTCTTAGAAAGCCAACAAAAATAAGCAAAGGGGAAAGGACTCCCTACTCAATAAATGGTGCTGGAATAACTGGCTAGCCATATGCAGAAGATGAAACTGGACCCCTATCTCTCACGATATATGAAAATTAACTCAAGATGGATTAAATATTTAAATGTAAGACATCAAACTATAGAAATCCTAGAAGAAAAGCTAGAAATACCCTTCTTGACATAGGCCTTGGCAAATAATTTATGACTAAATCCCTAATAGCAGTTGCAACCAAAACAAAAATTTACAAATGGGACTTAATTATATCTAAAAAGCCTCTGCATAGAAAAAGAAACTACCAACAGAGTGAACAGACAACTTACACAATGGGAAAAAATATTCTCAAACTATTCATTTGACAAAGGTCTAATATCCAGAACCTACAAGGATCTTAAAACTAAATCAACAAGCAAAAAACAAACAAAAAAATCCAATTACAAATAAGTAAAGAACATGAATAGGCACTTCTCTAAAGAACGCATATAAGCAGGTAACATATATGAAAAAGTGCTCTGCATTACTAATCAGCAGAGAAATGCAAATCTAAACCACAATGAGATATCATCTCACATCAGTCAGAATGGTGATTATTAAAAAGTCAAAAAACAACAGATGTCAGCGAGGCTATGGAGAAAGGGGAATGCTTATAAGGACCTGTTGGTAGGAATGCAAACTAGTTCAGCCACTGTGAATAGCAGTTTGGAGATTTCTCAAATAATCTCAAATAGAACTACCATTTGATCTACCAATTCCACTACTAGATATATACACAAAGAAAAATAACTCATTCTATCAAAAAGACATTTGCACCTATATGTTCATTGCAACATTATTCACAACAGCAAAGACATGTAATCAACCTAGGTGCTCATCAACAATGGATTGGATTAAGAAACTGTGGTACATATACACTATGGAATATTATGCATTCATAGAACAGAATGAAGTCTTGTCCATTATAGTAACATGGATAAAGCTGGAGGCCATTATCGTAAGCAGCCTAATGCCAAAAGAGAAAACCAAATACCACATGTTCTCACTTACAAGTGGGAGCTAAACATTGAATACACATGAATGTAAAGATGGGAACAATAGATACTGCGGACCACTAGACAGGAGAGGGAGAGAAGGGTACGTGGGTGAAGAAACACCTGTTGGGTACTATGCTTACTCCCTGATGGGATCATTGGGACTGCAAGCCTCAGCATCACACAATTTACCCCTGTTAACAAACCTGCATATGTACCGTTTATAATAAAAATTGAAATTAATATAAATAAATAAATAAGGCTGGGCGTGGTGGCTCACATCTGTAATGCCAGTACTTTGGGAGCCTGAGGCAGGAGGATCACTTGATCCCAGGAATTTGAGACCAGTCTGAGCAACATAGTGAGACACTCTCTCTACAAAAAATTGAAAAATTAGCCAGGCATGGTGGTGTGTGCCTGTATTCCCAGCTACTTGAGAGGCTGAAGTGGGAAGATCACTTTAGTCCAGGAGGTTGAGGCTGCAGTGAGCCAAGATCATGCCACTGCACTCCATCCTGGGTGACAGAGCAAGACCCTGTCTCAAAACAAAACAAAACAAAATCATTAATTCAGCATCCAATGTGTGTCAGGCCCTGTTCTGGGAACCAGGATAAAATGATGAGTACATTATGTGTTTTGAGAGCAGTCTGTGTTTACCATTACCAATATGGGTTTGAGAATAAAGTTGTAAGAAATAAGTTAAAAGGTGCAAAGTTAGATTATACCTAACATGCATATATTTACACTCCTTTTAATTGTCATATTTTATTGTCTGATGCCTTTGAGAAAATAAAGGGTTAAGAAGCAGGTCTGCCATCACTCCTCTCCAAAAGAAAGAAGTTAGTCACCATTGACTTGTCTAGCCCCTAGCGAGAGTCCTTTTGACAAACACACCAATGGCATATGCTAGCAGGAGGGTCCTTACCTATGGATGCTTTCAAAAGGATGCACCTGGTCTAAGATTACTTGTTGTAAAAAAATCTGGAATCTGTTGATTATGAGACATGTTTTCTTAGAAAGTGTCATGTAAGCCATTTACCTGGGTATAACATGGAAATGTTTCTTGTCTGAGATAAATCTCCTCTAGGTCAATGATCAAACCACACACAGTGCTTAAGAATCTCATGTTCCTCTGGGTTACAGTGTCTCTGAAGAAGCAAACAAGAACCCGGGAAACCATGTTGATGGCCCCAGGTTTTGTTTTCCCTGCACCTTATGATGACTTCTGGTCTTAAAATTGTTTGTGAAGCTTCCAATTAAATAAGGTTTTGAATGTTTGTGAAGCTGGCTTGACCAATTCTTTGTGTTATTTTACTTTCCAGTTAGAACTTAAATTACTGCTATGCCCTTAAAAACCTTTGTCTTCCCTATGATACCATAAGCACATTTGCACAAATGTTTGCAATTGTCAAATATGCATGAGAAATTTCACATAGCTGTTTTATTTCAATAAGCTTATGAGAAAGGAATTATTGTCACTACTTTACAGAGGATTTCATTAGGGTTCAGAGGTTAAAAAAAATTCCCCAAACTTTTATGTGTCAGGGACCAAATACGAACCCAAACATGTTACTTCAAAGCATGTTGTTTTACCATTCTATTATAATCCATGGGTCTAGGCAAGTAGATAAGTACTCAATAAACAAATTCAGTATATCTACTCTGACGACCAATCCTTGGAAGAAACAAACTTTCTATTTAATAAATTAATGAGTAAAATAAATTAGGTAGCTTCAGACTAATGTGTGTATTGACAATTTATCTGTCTTGGCTTACAAAACTTGTTTATTGGCAGTTATGACGAAATAGATAATGTGCTATAGAGATCCCTGCCAGAAACTTAAAATTTATTGAATCTTCCATGTTTCCTTATCCTTTTCAGTTTTCTTTTATGCTTTTCCCCTTTACATTTGCCTTGTCCTTTTGTTGCAGAAATCAAGAGTAGTAACCATGATTTATGTTTAGATAATGAGAATTGGCTTTAATTAATATGGAAAAGTTATTACCTTTTTGGGTTGAAAATATTCAGACTGCTTTTTCTCCTTCTGCAAATAATTTAATTGATTTCCTCCTTCACAAAGAGGTTATAACTCACATTCCAAGCTAACTAAACCTGGAGAAAATACTATCTCGTTAGAATACAGCTTATTATTTATGTATAAATTATCGTTACCAGTAATGGTGGTATTATTACTTTTACCAATTATCTTATATTTTATTCCATCTAGAGTGGAATCACCCAAAGCAATTTGATTGATCCTCACACACATGAAAAAGTAGTCAAGAATTGGCAGTGAAGCTGACTGAGAAAGCAGGGTGCATGCATCCTAACATAATTCTAAAACAGTTCTAACTCTGTAGCTCACATCCCAGAATGTTTCAACTGGCTGTTAGTATGTCTGTAGCTATTATAAATGCTGACTGCAGCAGGCAAAAATCTATTCCTATCACAGCAAAGGTATTTGAATTGAGAACAGCAAATCTAGGATATAGACCTATAGGGCCACTTGTGGCTTTGTGACTACCCAGTATCTACTCTACCTCTTGGAAGGATTCTCTTCCTCTCACTTGACACAGTCTGGTGGGACTAAAATCAATGTGTCAAGAACACATCTGTGGAAAAAGCAGATACATCACCCAAACAAGACCAACAAGATCCTTCTCCATAGAATTTGAATCAATTTGAATCTTGAGAGATAAATAAAGCAGACTTAAAACAGTAAGAAATCATTTGCTTCAGGAGTGCTCTTGAGATGAGTGTGAGACTGGACATTCTAAGTATTTTATGAGCTTGAATCTTCAAATTTTCTGTCATTTCTTTTATAATGCATCTCTAAGACTGTCTAACAAATTCAATTTTTTCATTTAGGTAGATTTGTTTTGCTGGCAACAAAAACATTCTAATTGATACCAGGACTAACTATGTGATCTTCACCAAAACACTTGAAGTCGATAAACCTCAGCTTTTTACTTGTCAAGTGTTAATAATATATGTCCTATAAACTTCAGAGATTGTTTTGCAAATAATACGCTACATAAAATTAATGTATCTAAGAATAGATTTTATGTTTTTGTTTAGCAAATTAAAAACTACAAAAGTAATATTTTTGCATACATTACATATCACATGCATCTATCTATCTATTCATCTATCTGTATCTTTGTCAGTTAGGATACAGGACAGCCACGCAGAATAAGCGGCAGTCCAGAGGGAGAGCAATCTTCAGTGAAGAGCAAACCATCTTCAGTGATGGTTAAGAGAATGCAAAAGGGCAAACAGTAGATATGAGCATAATTCTTAACATCAAAGTTGTGTCTTCTTCATAACAATCATTTTAGTTTGACTGGATGAATGTGAAAATTAGAAGAGTCTCATGATATTTACTCAATTTATGTGTTGTAATGCAAGAAGATGTAAGGCTAAGTATGTAAGACTCATTCAGTGGCTTACAAATAGAATAGAACAAGATTGCTATAATATTTCTAATAAGGCTTTGGAATATGACCAGTGTTTATTGTGAATATGTTTGTCATCAGATTATCAGATGCATACTATTGACACTGTTCTTGTGGATTTGGCATTTAAGAGAACAGACTTCTGCTCAGGAAACATGTCTATCATTGAGATCCTAACAAGCCACAGGTGTAAAGAGCTGCACCCTGCCTGTTACCAATGCAAGGAAGGTTGAGAACTTTTAACACTAAAGCTATGATCCAATTAGGGCCTCATGTCTGTAGGTTGGAGGTAACTTTATGTTTCTCCATTAAGGGATTTACCTGGAATATTTTTAGAAATGTTTTACTGCTGCCACCCAGGTGACTGATGAACTTGCTAATGGTGATGAGAAAACTAGCATTTGTATCACTGCTCCTGGGTGCTTGCAATTTGCACTTTGTATTTACGAGCATCACCCTATTGACCTCTCACAATTTCCCTCTGAAGTTCATATAATTGCAGCTACTTTTCTGAGGAATCTGTGCTGTAACACCATGCAGGAACCTCTTTAACACAACCATGAAAGTGCAAACTGCATTCTGGCACTGATTTTTAACAGATGTCTTTCTGCATTGTGACCAAACACACACTCTTTAAAGTGACGCCAGCTATGTATGCCTCCTTCTCCTTCTCTCTCAAGGTTTCCCCTGTGATGACTACTCTGAAGGGATCAGCTCTATACTAGACACAGGATAAATGGGAGGAGATTGTTCATTAACTGCGGGAAAGTATATGAGGAAAATATGATTCCCTCTTGCTACATACAAAAGAAAAATCTTTGTAAGTATAAAAATGTAAGATGTTAAATAGTATTCTTATCACATAAATGAAAAAGTTGTTGAGATGCTAAGAATATTGATAATGAAACTTAAAAATGGTAAAGCACTGTGTGAATATAATTAATTCATTTAAAAAACCTATTTATCAATGGCCTATGTTTCAGAAACTGTGAAGGGACTGGAGATGTACTGATTGACAAGACAAAATCTACCACCCGCCCCCCACAGCAAAATAAATTTACACAGTATTATTGCTGTTGCTATTGTTGTACTCTTAGTTATATTTCCAGTAATTTGTCTTTGATCCTTTACAAAATGTAAGCTTATGAGGCAGCATCATGCTAGTTTTCTTTTTCTTTACTTTGATCTTTGATCACCCCGCTCATGTTTTTGCAGGTGACTCCCAAATCCAAATCTATAGTCCCATCCTTTCTCATGAGCTCCTGTCCTGTGTTTACAAAGTACTTGCTGAATCTCTTAAGAACATGCTGAGCACTCAAACTCAACCTTCCCCAAACGGAGTCGTCATTTTCTTGTCTCCAGGCCCCATCATTCAACCACAAAAATACAGGTTCAATTTTGGTTCCCTGTTGTCATGTAAACCAGCTGTCAAGTATAGTGACTGGCACACTTCCCATATGTCCTTTCTGACATCCTTCATCCAGTATTCCCTCACACCAACCTGTTCTATATCTTATTGCCTTCACATTCTACATATGTTTTTGATCATGTCAACTGTGCAGAAAATCACTGTCACTCAATCAAAAGTATCCAAACTCTTTAGCCTAATGTTGGAAGTCCCCCAACATCCATAAACAACTTCTCTCCAGCTTATCTTCCAGAATTCCTAGCACCTAGGACACGGGAACTTTGTAGAACATGCCAGTACATTTCTCCTCACTGCTCTTCCACCTAGGCTGTTCCATTCTTCACACTCATGTAAGCCCCCACTTACCCTTTCAGGCAGATTTTAAAATGTATTCATTACTTCTATTAAGCATCTCTGATTCTTTCCACGTAGAATAGCCGTTCTCACTCATCTTTAATTCAGAATTCTTTACCTGTATTATGGGTCTTAATTCTTTAATTCAGAATTCTTTACCTGTATTATGGGTCTTAATATTTTCTTTCTTTCTTTCTTTCTTTTTTTTTTTTTTTGAGATGGAGTTTCACTCTGTCACCAAGCTGGAGGGCAGTGGCGCGATCTCGGCTCACTGCAACCTCTGCCTCCTGGGTTTAAGCTATTCTCCTGCCTCAGTCTCCTGAGTAGCTGGGACTACAGGCACGCGCCACCACGCCCAGCTAGTTTTTGTATTTTTAGTAGAGACAAGGTTTCACCATGTTGGCCAGGATGGTCTCGATCTCTTGACCTCATGATCCACCCACCATGACCTCCCAAAGTGCTGGGATTACAGGCGTGTGCCACCACGCCTGGCCAATATTTTCACCATGAAATGAAAGGCATGTGTTCATATGCCTTAATTCTCTCAGCACGCATATAGGTCTGATTTATATCTATATACATAGACATGTCTTAATATCATATATATATAGAAAGTACATAAATCCCAAGTGTACGGCTTGGTAAATAAATATTCACAATGCTAACATGCCCATGTAGCTAGCACCTCCATCATGAAATAAATAAATTAGCAGAACACGAAGAGCCACCTCATGTTTCTTTTTAGTCTCTACCCTGTCAAGGAAATCTACAGTCATTTGTAACATCATTGCCTGTTTTTAAGCTTTATATAAATGGGATCAAATGAATGTACCATTTTATGTTTAATTTATTTGGCTCTAATTAACATTTATGGGAATCCATCCAGATCACTTCACGTACTTTGAGTTTCCATAATCTCATTACTGTATTATATTTCATTGCATGAACGTACTGTACTTCATGTTTACTCATTCTTCTGTATGGCTTGTCTCCACTTCTGGGATATTACAAATAGTGCTGTTTTCTTGGGTAGATTTTTAGATGTACATATGTCACCCATTTCTAGTGGTTTTACAGTGTCTGGTATACTTTTGTGTTTCTTACAGCATCTAATTCAGTGTTTTGTTACTTGAAAAATAAATGAATAAATCTATATGATATTTGTAATTTTTAATTTTTGTGGGTACATCGTAGGTGTATATATTTATGGAGTACATGAGATATTCTGATACAGGCATACAATGTGCAATACTCATATCGGGATAAATGAGGTATCCATCATCTCAAACATTTATTCTTTCTTTGGATAACAGACATTCCAATTATACCCTTTTAGTTAGTTCAAAATGTACAAGTGAGAATCCTTCAAGTACCAAATATAAATATATATTATTCATATAGTAGGCATGTTCTCTTTATCTCTCTCTTTCTCTCCTCCCTCTCCCTCTAATCTTTCTCCCTCTCACTTTCTTTCTCTTCACCCCCTTCTCCTTGTCTCTTTCTCCTTGTTAGATCTGCCTAGGGGTAGACATGACACAAGGGTGTCTTTGGGCAGTGCAGGGAACAGAGATACAAGAATGGAGAAGTGATACCTGGAAGAATGGTAGCTCAATAACCAGTGAGTGACCAGAGCTCAGCCCAGTGGATAAACTGGGAAATGATGCAAAACAACTCATAATTATCCCAACTGAGCAGTGAGGGAGCTGGGGCATTTAAATGCTAACCTGAGAGTCCCTGATAGAGACTTCTGATTGTTCACAAGGGGAGTTAATTTCCGGGCACTTCCTCCTTCCATGCGCATGTGCATCATGGCCATCTGCACATTCAGGAAACAAACTCAGCCCAGATGCAGACACTAGCAGTTGGTAGTTAGCCAGGTCCCACTAAAACTGCAGAGTCTGAGGAAATATGGACAGAAGACTGACGTTAAATATCCTTCCTTTTTTTCTTCTATTTCCTTCTTGCTTGCTTGCTCTTTGTCTCTTGCATCACAATAAGAGCTTTTAAATTTATATTGAGATATTCAAAGAGCATTTAAAAAAATAAAGCTGAGGAAATCATGACAATGAAAAAATAAAAATTAAAAAATATATATGAACCTGAGATCGAGCTAGTACCCAAAATATTTCTCATGTAAGAGATGAACCACAGTTTTACACAAAAGCTCTTGCTTTGTATAATATCATGATACATGTATCACTGTATCATGTTTACCACCAACCCCATGAGGCAAACATGATTCACCCATTTATGTTATCCATGACAGCATTATGACAATTCAGTTTTCTAGGAAAAGTACTTTTCACTGATACAAAGATTAGAGACACTGTCTACATCAGCCCTTCGTAATGAAAGCAGTGTGCAGTGCTGTAAACAATGCCATTCTCAAACTTTACAGAGAAATAGAAGTTTATAAAGCCAAAGGGAAATCAAGATTAAGGTCTTCAGAGCAAAACAAACTTGATAAGAATCTAGTCTCCTTTGAAAATGTTCCCCAGTTTCAGAATACTACAAACAATATCTCCAGGAAATAGTTGTCAGAATCAAGAATCTCTAATGACATTTGAATACTGTATACAATTGACCTGAAGATACTTCAAGAAACTGGTGACCATTCCAATGACACCTTTGGACAGCCTCTGGAAGAGGGTTAGGAGCAGCCAATTCAAGAATTGAGGAAAAGAAAATACAAGGATCAAAATAATTGTCACTATCATCAACTGCTGCCCAAACAAGATGGCTGCAGAGACTGCCACCATTTTGAGTTTCAGGGATACTGAAAAATAAACAGCTGGCAATCATCCACCCCAGAGGGAGTAACGCAATTCCACCAGCAATTAGGCCCAGTACTCACACTATTTAATTAGATCAACTGCTGTAGGCTGAGCCTACACATCCTTTGATTCCTGTTTTGCAAGCCCTCCCAAACCCCCATGGCCTTCTGGTCGGTGGGGTTGCTATCATGAAGATGCTCTGTATTTCCTTGATTCTAACTAGCAAATGCCTACCTTTCTAAACTTGTCACTCTTCTATCTTGAAACACTACCCTGTAAAATCATGAACAGGCTCTCTTTATTATTATTATTATTTTTTTTTTTGAGACGGAGTCTTGCTCTGTCGCCCAGGCTGGGGTACAGTGGCACGATCTCAGCTCACTGCAAGCTCTGCCTCCCAGATTTACACCATTCTCCTGCCCCAGCCTACCGAGTAGCTGGGACCACAGGTGCCTGCCACTACGCCTAGCTAATTTTTCTGTATTTTTAGTAGAGATGGGGTTTCACCATGTTAGCTAGGATGGTCTCGATCTCCTGACCTCGTGATCCACCCACCTCGGCCTCCCAAAGTGCTGGGATTACAGGTGTGAGCCACCGTGCCCGGCCCATGAACAGGCTCAGTTTTATCTTTAACCTCTTCGTTTTTACTTCATGTTCTTGCTTTAATGAAAACATTATAACTGAAGATATAGTTTCCATGACAGTTGTGTCTTCTCTCAAAGTCCATAGATTTTAGGTTTGAGGTAGGAGTTAATTTTCTTTCTCCTAAGGCCTTGACATTCATGGAGCATTAATCCCCCATCTTAGTCAGGAAAGGCTGGAGTAAGCCACGGTAACAAATTCTGAAGTTTTAGTGTGACACAAAAGTTTATTTCTTACTCATAAAGTAGTCTAATGAGAAGGTGAAGTGGTTTTCCTCCAACTAGTTACTTCTTTGTGATTTTTCTACCATCTTTTGGCATTAAGATCATCTTGGCACAATTCAGTCAGCAAACAGTGAAAAAACAATTGAGAGGAAGACACACAATTTACTTACTCACTTCAGCCAAAAAAAATGTCATTTCTCCTTACATCCATCTCATCAGCCATAGCTCAATCATATGTCACCAACCTCACTAAAATAGTGCCTTGGAAATATAGACTTTTGGGGGTTCCAGGAAGAGGAAATGAAACTGGTAGGTATTTGCCACAACTCAACCTTCTGGTTAACAAATTATCCATTTTATTCTTTCTCAGGCACATAGAACACATGCTCTCTTTTTAAGAAGGAAAGCCCAAATTACCATCTGGTCACTGTTTCTAACTCAAAATCAAGCTCTCCAGGTGATTCTCAGTCCTCTACATCAAGTCTACCTGTGGCTCTTTGTCATATCAACAAAACGTATGTTTCATTTCAGTATACAGTGTCAGAGAAAAGGATATCCACATTAGACACTCCCATTAAGAAAGAAAATGGTACGAGGAGAATGGAAAACACATAAAATCATGGGCCATTTAAAATCCAGTGGGCCAGGCACTGAGAACCCTTTCTTGTCTCAGAGGTAAAAGAGATTCCGTGAACTAGCTCTATTCTTTGGAAGATATTGGTACATAGCTTCCCATGACCTCAAGCTCTTCTTTTTGGAAGAGTTCTCTTTCCCATTATCCTACATGGCCACAGTGAAAATGAGCATTTGTCAGTGTGGCTTCCTCGAAGGCTGCCTCTTGACTGTAGAACAATTAGCACTGGAGTTGTTTAATAGCTAGAATGGCGTAAGCGATTTTTAGTGTGGTCTTGAGGTTCCTCTGGCAACATAATTCATCCTTGAACAATGCAGGGGTTAGGGGCATCAACCCATGTGCATTCAGATAGAAATTTGTCTCCTCCAAAGCTTAACTAATAGCCTATTATTAACCAGAAGACTCATCAGTAACATAAATAGAATTGATACATATTTTGTATGGTTTATATGTTATATATTGTACTGTTATGATAAAGTAAACTAGAGAAAAGAAAATGTTAAGAAAATCATAAGAAAGAGAAAGTATATTCACTATTTATTACATGGGAATGGATCATCATAAAAGTCTTTATCCTCAGTGACTTCAGGTTGAGTACGATGAGGAGGAGGGGAAAGAAGGGGTTGGTTTCTCTGTCTTAGAGTGGAGGAGGCAGAACAAAATCTGCATACAAGTGGGCACATGCAATTTAAATGTATTTTAATGGTCAACTGTATGTGTTTTTCCTTATAACTTAGTAACTTGAGCTTTGCATTTTTCTAATCAGTTCATGATCTAATAACCCAAAAATTTTTGAGCTGTAATTTTCATGTTTAGTGACTGTTAACTTGATGTCCTCCTGACATAAATAGGGATGCTAACCCTAAAAACTCTATCTCATCTTCACCACGGAACACTTTGGTAAAATAGAAAGCTGAATTAGACTTTGACACTCAAAAATTTTTAACCACATATTAATTATGTGATTATTTTCAAATCTTTTCCACTAGGCTTGCTAGTTTAGACAAATAGTCTACCCCAAAAATGTCAGCAGAGGTGACAGTTTTAAAATATTTTGCTTTAACATAACATGAATTGCCTTTTTCTAAATTTCCACTATTATGTCTTCCCTTCTTGTTTTTCTACTATTAAGCTAGTGCCGTATATTTGCAGAAATTTTTTATGCTACCAATTTACTTCTGCTCAAGGTCAAACCTGACAGCTCCTGAATAACTATTGAAATTCTTGGTGACTTAACACAATACAAAGTTTAGTTCTCACTCATGCCATACTCAGCTATGAAAGGTCAAAAGGTTTTCTGGTAGCTTTCCTATAAGTGGTGACTCATAGATCCTGTTTGTTTGCTTGCTTTTTAATCATATGTCTCCATCATTTTGGATTCCTTTTTTCCATCCACAAAACTGCAAAGATAGAAAATGGACCAAGATGTATTCAGTTGTTTGAGAATTCAGGTCTGGAAATAGCCTATATCATGTCTGCCCAGATTTATTTGGCCATTACTAATCAAATGACCCCTATCTAATTTCAAAGGAGTTAGGGAAATCTAGTCTTCTAGCATTCCTTTGAAAAGGAAACAGGATTGATGGGATCCAGCCATTTTCTGCCACCATTCAGCCTTCTAGTCCACAAATATCTGCCTCAGTATTTCTTCCAAATATGTGAAACTTTCACCCCTTACATATAGAGAACAATCCAAAGTTTCCATTTGGCCACTGTCTCTGTATAAATTTCTGGGATCAAGGACTGATACCCAAGCCATCTCTGCCATCTGTAGATATGGCTTCTCTTTGTCCTGTAACTTCTGGACTAAAATGATAGTTATCTTCCTCCTACCCACAAAAATGCACATACCACATATAGTAGTGAATCAGGAACAGGATATTAGCAGTAAATGCTCTCATTTGAAAGGGTGAAGAATGAAAAGCTCACCCCAGCTACTGGCTGGAACAACTCTGAAATGCTGCTCGGAAGACACAGTGAAAGTCTCTGCACTTGGGTTTATGATTCTGGCTCCCTGGGAGGATTTTTTTGTCCATTAGTGTTCATGGGCCCTGGGCTGTTCCTTTGGGAGTCTCCTTATTCTTATGCCACTGCCGAGTCCGGTAAGCACAGTTGGAACATTTCTTCTCTGAGAAGTGACTCAAAGATCAGTCTGTTTCCATGTTATGGTCCTTACATCTCACAGTTTTAAGCCCACTCGAAAATCCACCAGCTGAGGGAGATGGAGGGAATAAAGCCAAAGGTAAAATACACCAGTTATTTAAGCACTTTATGAAAAGATTGATGACATCACTTTCTTTTGCATGGCAATGGCCAGATCTGTCCCATGAACCCAATCTAACTGCAAGGGAGAATGAGAAGTGTGATCTTCTTATGAAGCCAAGAAGAATAAAAGGATTGGTAAGTGAGCCTGAAACTTTTCCCTAGTCCTTCGTAAAAATTCTTCTCCTTGAAAGCTATTGCCATTTGATGCTAACATTTTTCCCTTTCCTGTACCGTCATTCTGAGTAGTCCTGCTCTTCTCTCTCCTGAATCAGACATTAGCACTTTCAAAACTTTCTTTCTGCCTTTATCGTCACTTATAAATAGACCCAACCAGACCACTGGCCTCAACTTGATCAATCTCCTCAACTCCAATGATCTTCTCCAACATGATACCTCAGCCAACCTTCTCAGAGTCAAATCCTAGAATCTGTCATCACTCGAAACAGCTCTTTTTCCAAAATCGCTAATCCCATTTCTCTCTGTGTTCCAAATAGAATCATCTTTTTCTCTGTTTACTATGAAACTCCCTTCCTAATTCATCAGTTAAAATCCAATATTGGTTGGGTGAGGTGGCTCACACCTGTAATCCCAGTAATTTAGGGTGCTGAGGCAGAAGGATCACTTCAGCCCAGAAGTTCAAGACTGGCCTGGGCAACATGGCCAAACCCCGTATCTACAAAAACCAAAACTAAAAATAAAGAAATAAAGAAAATCCATTCTTAGCCCCTTTAATCCAACCTCTATGCTCATAGCCCCCTATTACTCCAGCTTGCTTAGTCAGTCCCTTCCTATTATGGTTCCCTGATCTTTTTCTCTAGACTAATAATTCTCTTTACTCTTTCCCAATACAATAACCATCCCCTTTTATTAATTCTCTCATTAACCAGTTTTAAGTTATTTGGTTCACCCTTTCAAACACTCCCTTGCCACACACTTTGTTACCAACCAACGCTACAATTTATTCCTAATCTTCAAATTAAAAAAGGGCCTAACACTCACTTGCAATCAGACATTTCTCTGGTCAACAAATCTTGTCTACTTGCTGCAGAAATTATTTTAAACCTTTGTGCTTCCCTTAAAACTCCGATCATCCAGCTCCTCACCTCACCCTCATTGCCTAATAACACAAAGAGAAAGTGTAAGCCTTAGGGTAAGGAATCTTTTATCATTTTACAATCATCTACAAGCCTACTTTCTTTTTTTTCCCCTGAGCCCCTTCACTCTCTCCTGTTATAAATGAAAAGGCACCCTTACTACTATAAAAGGGTCTTTTATGCTTCAGTCCTCATCCTCTTCTGACTTTATAGGAGATTAATCTATTCTCCACCCCCATATATTCAGTCTTGCCCTCGATACTGCACTTTTTTTCCAATAGTATTTAAATCCTCTTAAGCCTATCTCATCTGAAAATACAGCAAATAAGTTAAAACACTCTTATACCCATAGTTTCAATCTCCATCTTTATGTCGATGACTGCTAATTCTCCTCTGAGCTTCAATAAGCATATTTCAAGCTACCCTCTTGACACATTGCAAACAGCTTCACTGAACACAGCCACACTGGAATAGCTGGCTCTCCCATACTCTAAAAGTATTTTCTCTTTGTATCCTCTCTCAATGAATGGCACTAGAGTTAATCTCTGCTGCATGTCAAATGCCTGGGAGTTATTTTTGACAACTCTCTCTCCTTTTTCTCCTCCACTAACAGATCCTGAATGCCACATCTCCTAAATAAACTTTGAATACATCCACTTCTAATTCTATCACCACTACCACCCTGGTCCAGATAAGATCACATCTTTTTGGACTATCATAACACCCACCCTTCTTCTTTCATGTTTTTCCCCTTTAATTGATTCTCTTCTCTGCAAGCTGAATAGTAGTTTCTAGGTGCAAATCTGATGATATATTACATGTTTGCTTAAAATCCTTCAAAGGATTCTCTTTGTTCCTTGCTTTTGAGGTACAATCAAAATAGTTAACAGGGCTAAGCATGGTCTGGACCCTAAATACTGCTTCAGTTTCATCTCATACTATGACAACCCACAACTCTCCAAGCTTTAGCTACTTTCACTGTCATTTCAATCTTCAGACAATAGTCTGAAGATACTCCTTCTCACCACAAGGTTTTACATATTTGAAAACTGCTCTGTTTTCAGATACCATCTCTTATGACCATGTTTCATCTATATAATTAATTCTCATCACGTTAGTTCTCAAATCAAGTGCTATCATCTCAGTAAAATCTTCCTTGATATCTCAGACTAGAGCCCCTTTTTCATAAAACATTGCCCCCGTTCATTTCCTTCAAAAATATACAATTTAATATTTTTGTGTAATATTTATTTGTGCTGTTATTTTTTGGAATCCATCTTACCCTCTTCCTAAAAGGATTTTGCTTAATTTCCTGATAGATATTTTCACCACTTAACACAGCACAGAGATGTAGAGGGTGTTTGTAAATAAATGTTGAAAAAAATATATTAATTTCAGAATGGCAAAATAAAGAGAAAGGCAGTGTGTCCCAGGGAGGTAGTTACATTATTCAGGGATGTACTACACAATAATAAACAGAGAGTGTATATATGTGTGTGTGTGTGTGTGTGTGTGTGTGTGTATACACACACACATACACATACATGTTCTCTTTGTATATATATATACACACACATACAGAGAGAATTATTCACCCCTCTATAATATTTTTCTCAACTTAATTTTTGATAAGTAATAGATGATAGATAGTTCAAGGTTATTGTCTCTGAAAAATAAGTAGTGAGAAAATATCTTGTGTTACCATTTTAATACAGATCCTCAGGTTTAGGATTAGTTAATATATAATGCACACCAGGAATATAAGTATAGATATAATCATGCAAAAACAATTCATACTCTCAGATAAGCCTCCTGAGAAAACCAAAGATAAAACTAATACTACATTTCAGAAACTCCAAGTCAACTTGACTCCAAGTCAAAACTTCATGATTATGCTAGGGCATTTTGTCCTAGCATTCTTTTTCCCTAGCGTGTTTCAGAGAGGTCATATACTAGAAGGGCTGAGAATTTCTATCTTTCTCTTTACACAAAATGGTGACGTAGCAGGACAAACCATTGTCTCAGAAACCCTTAAATTAGAAACATGTTTTTCGTCCTGGCTTTGCCACAGTGTGACATTCTGTAGATTGCTTAAAGACACCCTGAAACTTAGTTTTGTACCTTTTTAGAATGCAAAGGTGAATTTATAAATCTGTTTCAGATCTAAGCTTCTAAAAATCTTTATTTGGCATCATTTGTATGTTTCAATAACAATCATGATGGGATATTCAGAATTCATCTGGGAACACTAGTAATCAAGTACCCCAGTGTCAAATATTAAATCTAAAGAGTGAGAAAATGCACATACACACACACACACACACACACAGACATATAAATACAAACATGCAAAAACAAATAAATAAAACATCAACCCCTTCAGTGGCTCCTTGTTCTTATCCCACTTAGCTCTTCTATTGCTTGATACCTTAAAGAAACATACTTTATCCAAGCTTTATGCTCTTGTAAAAAATTAATATGAATATGCTAACAATTTTCCCATTGGGTTTGCAATTATTCCTACAATGTTTGGCATGCATGTGGGTGGCATGAAAAAACAACTTGTCCTTTGACCCTTCTCTGGATATTATCCCAGAACAATAAAACACTAAATGTTAACAGTGGCAGTAAAATAAAATATAGATGAATGATAGAAATTGTTCATATAGCTTAGGAAAAGTTTATCTCTAAAAATAGTTGTTTATATTGAACAGAGAGCTTCCTTAAAGCAGTAGCTGCTAATAGGGCTAGAACATTAAAAAGAAATACTTATTGGTGTGTCATAAAACTTGGGATAATAAAGCAGCACTTGCTTAAACTAATAAAGATACATTAGAGTGTGTGAAAATAGGAAGCATTGCTAAAGAGAGAGACTGCTCTTTAATGACCAAAAATGAAGAAAGCAGAAAGTAGAAATTTTTCTGTATTAGAAACCCATTTTTAAGTTTCAAATTATCTCAAGGCAAGAATAATCCTCATATTCTAGTGGTGGTAAATAATGAAGTCTTTCATCTATCATATTCTGGTAGTTAACTCTAACCCCCTGGGAACAGCTACTGAAGAGATGATGAGAAAAAGTCCACAAATCAGGCATCTGAAAGGAGAGTAAAATAGTTTCTGAGATATCATCCCGGTGGGAGCCACACAAGGGATGACTATAGTACACATGGACTTCTCTTAGCTAACACTTAAAATTATTTTAAGTGTACATCATATAGGTCATTACCCAGATCTTGACCAAATTCTTTCAGTGGTGAGACAGTTATCCATGGCAGGGCAGGGGAAGCTTTTTTTTTTTTTTTTTTCTGAGACGGAGTCTTGCTCTGTTGCCCAGGCAGAATGCAGTGGCATGATCTTGGCTCACTGCAACCTCTGCCTCCTGGGTTCAAGCAATTCTCCTGCCTCAGCCTCCCAAGTAGCTGGGATTACAGGCTCCTGTCACCATGCCTGGCTAACTTTTTGTAATTTTAGTAAAGATGGAATTTTACCATAATTGCCAGGCTAGTCTTGAACTCCTGGCCTCGAGTGATCTGCCCGCCTCGGCCTCCCAAAGTGCTGGGATTATAGCTGTGAGCCACTGCACCCGGCCAGGGGAAGCTTTTTTATGGAAAGGGCTTTTGCTTAGGGTATTGAGTTTGGCTTTTTACTGCTGAAGTCATTTTGGATAACTACACTGAAAAAAATCCCTCCTAAGAGAAAGAATAGAGATTGCCTGACAAAGGACATAAATTTAATGAATAAACAGAAATAGGTTAAACTGCAGAAACTGACTACCTCTTGTGTATGAAGAGGCAGCTTTGGCCAGGCACAGTGGTTCACTCCTGTAATCCCAGTACTTTGGGAGGCCAAGGTGGTCAGATCACTTGAGGACAGGAGTTCGAGACCAGCCTGGCCAACATGGTGAAACCCTATCTCTATGGAAAATACAAAAATTAGCCGGGCGTGGTGGTGCACACCTGTAGTCAAGCTATTCCAGAGCTGAGGCAGGAAAATCACTTGAACCCAGGAGGCAGAGGTTGCAGCGAGCTGGGATTGTGCCACAGCACTCAAGCCTGGGCAACAGAGCAAGACTCTCTCTCTCTCAAAAAAAAAAAAAAAAAAAAAAGGCAGCTTTGCACAGATCACTCAGAAGCTGGACAGCTAAACACAGTTGTCTTCCATTAGTCAACCTCAAATGCCTGGCCCAAGTACTGATGCTATGGTAGGTTTGAGAGACCTGGGACATAGAATCATAAAAGTGACTGGAATTTATGAAGCATCCCAGCACATTATGTGAGATCTGCAGATAGCAAAATCTATTTTAAAATGTTGAAAAACATTTGAATGTGTCTAGACAGAAATGGACATCCTAATTTTGAGGATAGTTTTAAACTTTATTTTTATAAAATTAGCAAATAATCTACCCATGGAGGTAATAAGTGGAATACGATGTGTTCTCCACTTGTACTGTCATTGACTGGTTCCCCAGGAAACTGAAACTGAAATGGAGATCTGTGTACACAGGTCATTTCTTAGGGAGTATTCTCAAGAACAATACCTACAAGGAAGTGAGGGAAGAAGATGGATGGGCCAGAGAGAAGTTGAACTCAGATGTGTTTGCAACTGAGGCCTCAGCTGATCACAGAAGGAGCAGGGGCTCTAGAAAGTTCAATGATATTCTGTATTGAGGTAAGAGGACTGAGCCTTTCTATCTTTACTCTGACCAGTCATTGGATGCAAACAGCTTTTGGGAAGGGTGCATAACCTTAGGCAAGGTGTCACTTTTTGCTGTATAGTACTTCCTGGAAAGGGACTACTCAGTTGTGGACAATCAGTTGGCAACACAAGTTGGCCACTGCAGCACCTGCTACACCAGTGTGAAGCTTTATTGTCCATATTTAAAATCTAGTTTTCCATTCATGATGTGTGACTTAGTTACCACGTCTGGAAATGAATATAAAATATGACTTACTTCACAGTTTCAAGAATAAAATACAGATAAAGCCTCTGAAATAGTGACTAGCTTATAGTAAGCAATTAGTAAGTACTTTTATAAAATATCTTTATAGCCACGGCCTTTTTATAAAATATCTACAGCTAGGGCTTTCTAAATATGGCTAACAGGGTCAAGTATCTACTATTATAGCTGGTCCTCATGATTCATTGATTCCATATTTACAAATTCTCCTGCTCTCTGAATTTTATTTGTAACTCCCAAATCAATACTCACAGTGCTTCAATGGGCATTCAGGAACATGCACAGAGTAGCAAAAAAGCACAGAATAACCCAAGATATGCATTCCCAGCTGAGGTCCAACAAGGTGGTGCTCTGCCCTATTGTTTCAGCTTTCACACTGTAAATATGTCCTTTCCATTGCCTATTTAGTTCTTTGTTTTTTACATCTTTGTCCTTGTTGGTGGTGCTTAAAATGGCCCCCTGTTATGATATCATGACTACTAAAACCCCCACTTTTGGTTAATTAAGCATCGTGCTTAATTGCTGTCTAGTGTACCTAAGTGCAAGAAGGCTGTGTAACACTTCATAGAGAATATATGTGTGTGTTAAAAAGCTTCATTCAGGCATGAGTATAGAGCTGTTGGCCATTAGTCCAATGCTAGTGAGTCAACGGTAATTTTAAATAGGGTGTCTTTCAATAGAGAACCATACAAAACATGGTTATGTATTGATCAGTTGACAAAAATGTGAGCTCAAGTTTGCAGGACACTAACTCTGTATATACCCTAGGAGCAATGGTCCAGTATTGGCTAAGTCAATGTTCACGAATGTTCATGGTAACTTTATAGAATGCAGCTACCACAAATAATAAGAATCAACTGTAACAATAATAATAAAAGCAATAATAATATACTTTTTTTTTTCTAGTTCCAGGTATGTCACATTTATTTTCCGAGATGCTGTTGATGCCCCATCTCAAATCCCTTAAGCCTATGGCTACATTTTCCTGAAGTCTTTGTAGATAATTTTTAATATGCTGATATCTCCCCACCTCAGAAACATGTGCCTCCTTGCCTGCGAAGTCTCTCTCCTGCACCCGAGAGCAGCCGAGAAATGTGAGCAAGTTAAAGCCCCAGGGACAGCTAACAAAAAAAAATGGGAGATTGTAAGTAAACACCCCAGCATCCCAGCACTCCAGAAATCTTGGGACTGATATAGAGACATAGTTTCTCAGAATTCCCCAGTCGAATTTAGGCATCATCATTTCTTGTAGGGATGACTCACTGTGCCAGCTAGCCTTGAAGATGGCTCCTAATGACCCTTGCCTCTTGGTAAATATGTTCTCTATATTCCCCTCTCATGTTAATTAGGGCTGATTGGTGTAGTCAACAGGATACTAATGAAGTGATATTGTGTGACTTTTGATCATATGTCATTAAAGATATCAAGGCTTCAGCATTGGCCTCTCTTGTATCACTTGTTCTGGGGAAAGCCAGTTGCCATTTAATGAAATTATCTAATCAGTCCTATGGAGAGGTACATATGATGAAGAACTGAGACTTCCTCCCAAAAGCCAGCATCAGCATACCAACCATGTGGCTAAGCTACCCTGAAAGAAGATCCACCATCCCTAGTCAATCCTTCAGATGACTATGTCCTTGGCCCGCATCTTGATTTAAATTCATGAGAACCTCAGAACCAAAACCACCGAGAACCACCAATCCAAGCTCAAATGAGAACCCCATGTGAATAGGACAAACATTTATTGCTGTTTTAAATTACTAAGTGTTGGGGTAATCTGTTACATGACAGTAGATAACAAATACATCTATACATGAACACATATTTTATTGGATTTACTCCTTTTCTTCTCTCACTTAACCCATTCTCACATGTACACTTCATAGCATCATCTCAGAAATAAACTATATATGCCCATGTCCTTATTCCAGAGTCTGCTTTTAGAGGAACTCAAACTTTGACTCTTGGTACTAAGAAGGTTCTTAAAAGCAAATTCTTATGATGATATCCTGGAATTGAATCAATTATTAGTCAATGGGCCCCATTTCTGGTATTAAGTGGGGTGGTGGTATCTGGAAAGCTGATTACTAAAACTTCCACTTTTGGTTAATTAAGGATTAGGTAAAGGTAGAAAGAGATGTATTAGTTTGTGCAATAGCTCTAATTTTTGAATGATATTGGGGAAATGGTAAATACACACATACATGTCTATTTATTTATAGGTAAACTGACTTTCGTTAACTTTCCTAGAATGCTGAAGAAAGACAATGGCAAGAATAGGTCAATTAACTATTCACTCAAGGTACTCAGTGAAAACCAGGAGGTATCTGTGTTAGAATTCAAAGAGATCTCCATTCCCTATAGCTGGAGTGTCTGGCCAAGAATTTAATCTTAAGTATAGCAGAGCTAAATAGAAGACAGTACACTGGTATCTCTCCTGTGCTAACGTGAAAGTCCAATTAGGAACATGCAATAGCTTTACATAAGGTGTGTGTCTCACAAAATGATGTATGACTTTCTCAACATCTATTCATGCTTTCTTTCATTGCCTCTAGACTAATAACTAGAATCAGCCCTCAGAATAACACAGATAATTAAAGTTTTGCTTTGGTAGCAAATGTTTTATTTACCCAAAGAACTACAGGATTTGGAAAGTACGTACAAATAAGACTAGCGAGACACTTGGGGGAGTGGGTCTTAAAGATGTGGAATATGAGGCTGGATGGAGGAGCTTATTAGTATGGGAGTGCTCTCCCATAACTGTGGTTCAATATTCTGGCAAGGACAATTGGAGCTGGTTCAAACATTAAAAGGGATGGCTCTTATTTAAACAGGAGAGTGACCTGCAGAAAATGGGGTTTACATGCCCTCAAATAAATTGGTGTAGAACTTAGGAGATATCAGAGAGGCACATATTAAAATTGGTTGATTATGTGAAACAAAACATCTATCAACTGATGATGTTTCTTCAGAGGGTTCAGAGATAACTTCATTCATTAAAACAATAAGAATACACTAGTAGAGAGAAGGGTGATAAATTCATTGAGAAGTGTCGTGGTGACTGTCCTTTGTATACCAGGATTAATTATAGAAGGTGCTGCTATGTATCTAAGTTTACTGGTATCATTGGGGATGGTAGGACTCTGGGAGAACAGAAGCAAGGTGATGGCACTTAGCCTTCTAAGACAAGGAGAATATAATTACTATATTAAGCAGTAAAACTGGAAACAAGCAAACCTTGGGACTCGGGGAATCATTGCAATAACTAATGAGCTATGGGATTCCTAGAGATGAATAGGTGAACAGCCAACAAAGAGCTTCCGGATTTATATCAAGGGCTGGTAAACAGAAGTCTATGTCAGTCCCAGCAGTGAAAATGATGATCTCTCACCAAGTTTCTAGATCTGTGCCATTTTGAAACCCAGAATTCACCTACTGAAGAAAACCTGGGTTTTCTTGAAGGAGGACTTTGCAATGACACCACAAACATATATATAAAGTATTCTCCCAAAGATTGCCCCAGGGGTCCTGTGACCATTCTGCAGTGTAAATGTACACTAGCGTAAAGGGAATTTTTAAAAATCATTTTAGGGTTGTCAGAAATGGGCTGATTTGATAAGTGACAACCAGGAGATCTGCAATGCTAGCATAACTCCCTGTTAGAGTGAAGATCTATAGATCCCAGATGATACATAAAACACTGCCTCAGGTCTCTCTCACAGTAAGTCCAATGAGCCCATAGAACTTTGTGTTTTTTTAATCTAGTACTTGTGTACTTAAATTGGTGGGAAGAGCCCCGTGAAAGTCTCTGAAACTGCTTTACTGTTTAAGTGAGTAAATCAGAAACAATATGCAGCATAGGTGAACTTGCAGAGATTAGTTCTATCCTAAAGTATTTGATTAGGCATTGGGGGTTCCCAATATATCCTAATTTGATTCATTGGAATGGCTTCTTCAAGAAATATGTGAATCATAGCATATTAAGGCCACCATCACCGTAAAAAAACTGAATGACAGCCCCAATCACATCTACTCTGTTGGATATGATATCTTTAATAGAACAACATAAGCTCCAGCACTAGGTATGGGGTCATGGATCTGACAAATGTGTTATTTTCAATCCTCAACAGGAACAAGGATCAAACGCAGCTTTCATTCATTTGGAAATATCAGCATTTCACATTTACTCACTTGTACAATGGCTATGTTAACTGTTCAGCTCTCTCTTAATGTCCAAAGGCACTCGGATTTCTTTGATAGTCAGTAGAACATCTCACTGGGTACTCTATATTAATAAAGTGACTGTAAAAATGGATCAAATCCATTGCAGGAATGAAGGATTTATTTTTTTTCAGTGTCTGAAGTACTGCCAACAAATAACCCTCAGCTCTCAGTCCCCTTGTGGATTGCCCCTGCTAAATAAAGCCACCAGAGCCTGATTTATGCCTCTTCCTGAGGTGGCCTGTTTCCAATGACAGACCAGTGTTGGAGTATGAAGGCCTAACCAGCTCATCTAATTTGGGGAGAGTTCTAAAGAATAAGGTTATTTTCAGCTCCAGAGTCTCATGACATCTCAAACTACATCATAGCTCATCATCTTCTGACCAATCAGCCTTCTTCATTTCCTGTCTATGCTATTGTTCCAAAGAGCATTTCCTAATAAACCTCCTGCATACTAAATTTCAATCTCAGAATCTCCTTCCTCGAGAACTTAATCTGAAATATCATAGTATTTGAACCCAGTAAAGAAAAAAACGGCAAATACTTAAAGTGCCCTGTTAATGACACATGCATGTAGGAGTATATAATACAAACCTTACAGAGACACAAGGGACTGTGAAACTTTTAGGATTGCTATGGTTTTAATGTGTGCCTCGAAATTTCATGTGTTGGAAACTTAATCTTCAGTGCAACAGTGTTGAGAGGTGGGGCCTTTAAGAAGTAATTAGATCATAAGTGTTCTGCACTCATAAATGAATTAATGTCATTATCATGGGATTGGGTTGGTTATCGTTAAGTGTGGACTCCTGACAAAAGGACAAGTTTGGGCTCCATTTCTCTCTGTTTTGCGCACCTGTTTCTGTCTTCCCACATGCTGGCGCCATGCTCTTGGGCTTCCCAGGCTCCAGAATCATGAACCAAATAAATTTCCACTCTTTATAAATTATTCAATCTGTGATATTCTGATATAGCAGCAGAAACTGTACTAAAACAGAAGTAAAATATGCTAGAACATTGCTTCCAAAGTAATGCAAACGTTACTGTGCCTTGTATCTTCTACCACTAAGGAAGAGGCATAGTGCTTGTTGAACCATTTCAGATTTCAGAGGCAGAGTGGTTTCCAAAGCAAAAAAAAAAAAAAAAAAAGGAAAAAAACAGATTTTGTATCAGAACTATGCTGTAGTAAATGCGTCCTACAGCTCAATTCATAGGAAATACCTTGGTTCTAGATTGCCTGTGCTAGACAAGGATGGCATGTATGGTCTGTCTTGTAAATATAAGTGAAGTTCCCCAGTGTTCCAGAGCAAGGCAATGCCTTCTTCAGCAGAACTTATCATTTGAAAACTTGTTCCTAGAATGCTACTTGGCCTTAGTAGAGACTAAGTGCTACAGCATGGAAAATAAAATAGCTAAGAAAATGCAGCTACCTGCCATGTATTGAGTATTTTCAGAATCACCAATTTATAAAGTCAGATGAATGCAGAAACACAAAAACAATCTATGATATGATAGAAAGAGTAAATTTGACATTAGAACTGAACGGGTCCAGAGACAAAATGAATCTACATGCCATTATCACCTGCCTATACTGTATCAGCACCTTTCCCTCATATTACACTATGAACCTGTGGAAGTCTCCTAAGCCCAGCTGACACAGGAAGTAAACCAGGCTTGGTTCATGGGTGGGCCAGCTTGAAATACCACTGTGAGCAAAAATTAACTACATTCATTTTATAGCCTCATCCACAGGCTCTACAGAGAGAAAATCCTCCCAATCTGTAGAGCATTAAGTGGTAAATTTGGTCAACTTCTTCATATAGATCAGCAAACAATGGCCCAAGGGTCAAATTAGTCAACTACCAGTCTTGTAAATTGTTTTATTGGAACATAGTCACACCATTTGTTTCCATATTGTCTATAGCTGCTTTCACACTACAGTGACAGAGTTGAATAGTTGCAACAAAAAGCTATATGGTCTGCAAAGCCTAAAATATTATCTAGCCTGACACCTAATATAGAGGAAGATGTGGTCCAAGTTAGGCATACATAACAATTGTGTAAGAAACAATGGCTTATATGACATGGAGGGCTCTGGAATGAGCAAAACAAGATGAGATACAATAAAATTTGGGAAAAACTAATGTGGATAGGCTTTTGAGAGTAAGCATAGATGGTGCAGATCATATCTTGTTTCAAAGCCCATCAGAAAGCATTGACCTCAGGTGAGGTATTGAAGAAGAGATGGCTTATCCAGAGTTAGGCAGCCTCCATCCATGAACATGCTAATGCTTGCACAAGGGCAAATAAACAAAATGACAATGGTGACAAGAATGGAGACTATTTTTTGATCCATTAGCATGAACTTCCACCCAGTGAGGTTGATCTAGAACTGTCACTGTTGGCATGTCAGTAGCAAAAATATGCAATGATCCTTTATAGGATAGGATCTCTTGAGACCAACAAGCTGCTTGGTAAAGTTGTTTACTTGGGTCCCATGAATCCTGGAGCTGCAGCTCTACAGGAATTATTATTTATTTCATGTATAAGCTTTCCTTCCTTGTCCACATTTCCTAGGCCAGCAGTATCATCCAAAGACTCAGAGTACTTAAATTACTGGTGTCATCTAACATCGCTTCAGACTAATGGAACAATTTCATGATTAAGAAGGTGCAATAAAAGGCACATGCCCATGGAGTTAATAGATCGTGGGATACACAGCATTATTTGAACACTGTTATATTGGTTGGACTTCTGAATGCCTTTTTAAAGACTTAGCTAAGGAATCATCTTGAGAATAATACGCTGAAGGGCTGGAACACTAGTGATGTGTTTGGATCTGTGTCCCTGCCCAAATCTCATGTCAAATTGTAATCCCAATATTGGAGGTGGGGCCTGGTGGGAGGTGATTGGATTATGGTAGTGGATTTCTCATGAATGTTTTAGCATCATCCTCTTGATGCTGTTCTTGTGGTAGTGGGTGAAAACACCAGATCTGGTTGTTTAAAAGTGTGTAGCACTTTCCTACTTGTCCTCTCTCTCTTGTTTCTGTTCTAGCCATCTGACATGCCTGTTCCCCCTTTGGCTTCCATCAAGATTGTAAGTTTCCTAAGGCCTCCCCAGAAGCCAAGCAATTGTTAATACCAGGCTTCCTTTTAGCCTGCAGAACTGTGAGCCAATTAGACCTATTTTCTTTATAAATTATCTTGTCTCAGGTATTTATAACAGTGGAAGAATGCTCTAATACAACTAGAATGTAGCATATGCTTTGATCCACAGCCATTAAGTAGTATTGGCCTATTTCATCGTCATTCACAGTGACTAACTTGGAAAAAGTGTACTATCCTGAAATTGTGTTACCAAAAAAGATATGTTAAAGTCATAAGCCCCAGTATCTGGGAATGTGGCTTTATTTTGAAAGAACGTCTTTTTTTATAGATGTAATTAAGATGAAGTCATTAGAACACGATGTGACAAGAGATATAGTGATTGGCATTATGCAGCTGCAAGCGAGAGCATGCCCAGGACTGCCGGCAACACCATAAACTAAGAGGAAAGCATGGAACAGATTGTCTCCTAAAGACTTCAAGAAAGCATGGCCCATCCAAAACCTTGATTTTGATTTTTCCAGCCTCCAGCACTATGATAAAATAAATTCCTGTGGTTGTTAACCAACCATTTTGTGGTGCTTTGTTACAGCATCCCTAGGAAACTAACAGACCACAAAGTTAGTTTTTGCTGGATTAAAGGTCACTTGCTCAGGTTGGGGATAACTTCATCAGGAGATAGATTAAGAGTTTACTGAACCAAAAACTAATACTGATTTCTAGTTATTTTAGACTCCTCATGTCAACAGAACAGAAAAGGTACTACACTTCCAAAAGATAACAAAACTTTGCTTGCACGAATAATGTAATTAACTGTTACATAATGTGAGTATGGAGGAATATGACTATAATTCATGGTATTCTCTGGGGAGCTTCTTGATGTTTCTATGACCAGTGGTAGCTATAAATGAAAATGTGGCAACCATAGCCTGATAAAAACATTGTAAGCAGGGGAGCAAATGTTCAAAAGTGAAGGTTTAGGCCATGCCACCAGGAAAGCAAATCAGGCTGGTGAAAATATTGGCCATAGGTGAGGGGAATGTCGAATAGATGATAATGGAGAAACTTGATTAATATAAATTATGGCCTCAGGACCAGGTACAGTATGGGGAATTTTAGTCTTTATCACAACTATCCATATTTAAAGACATTTTTTATATTTTGTGTTTGGCCACCACATTTAAGCTTCAGTGAACATGTGGAATCAATAGGGGGGTACAAGAAAATAGGAATGATGTAAGTGCCTATATTAGATACTGTTGATGCTGTTGCCCAATCCACTCATCCCAATGAGTTTGCTTGCATCTGTAATAAGCAGTTTCTGGAATAATGACAGTGCCCTTCCTCAAGTGCATGCATCTCTAGGCATCTCTTACTAGAGATTTTTTAATGGGACCATGTGGAGATTGCTCAGATATATGAGGGTGCAAACTCAAAGGGGAGGAAGAATTAAAAGCATGGGGAATAGAATAATATGCAAAAGTGTCCCAACCTCCTATCCTTTTTTGGGACATCTTTGTAATATGCTCATGTGGTTTCTTCAGGGGTTTCCAGAGCAATTATTCCCCAGTTGCCCTGAACCCACATACATACTTTCTTTTAGTTCCCCAGCTCACTTTGACTCTCTCACTTGCATTTCCATTGATCACACTCAAGACTTTGTCTCATTGTCTGTGTTTAGGGAAAGCTCAATTAATACACATGTTTAAAAATCACCTTAGAGTGAGTGTAATTATGCTAATTTTATAGATGGAAAAATAAGACTCAAAAACATTAAATAGCCCAATCAAGTTCACATAATAGTTAGTGGGAGACAACTCCAATGGCTACCAAACTTTAGTTCTTCATATAATATCTTCTTAGTCTTTGTCTCATTCTCATGTCACTTAGATTATTTTACTTAATTTAAATGAATATGTATTTAAAATAAAAAGTTGCTAGTAAATGGAAAACCACCAGCACTTACTATAATAGAAGGCAACATAAAAATATGTACAACAAGCAGATGAATATCTAACACATCTAAAACCAATGACATGTACATACTCTAATGATATAAGGTGACTCTAAACAGATTTTTATTTTTTATTCTGGCATTGGATACACCCTTTCCCCTCTTCTGATTTGCTTGAGCTGAGTTGCTCAAAACTAAGCACAACATTCATCTACATTCTCCAAGTCCACCATGACATGTTCCATTAAAACAATCTTTACTACAGTTCTGAAAACTGCATCACATTATAAAGGCATAGTGGGCAAAACTCTCTCCATTGATTTTGTTCTTCTAGAATGCTTTTTGTGTTTTAATGCCTAACTTTATAGAATTCACTTATCTCTAGACACACCATTTTTTCCGTAATATACCTAGGAAAAATTTATATCTACTTTCCCAGTTCTAAATACATGTGAAAAAACAGTATGCAATACAAAGAGAATGTGCAGTAAAGGTTATAAGTTACATTCCAGATTCAATTGATTGAATGTCAGAAACATGGGCAGACTTTTTGAAAAGAACTCTGATCATCAACAAATGGGATGTGCATCTCAATGTTGCTGATGCTAAGAAAGACATCACAATGTCATACTCAGTATGAGCCATTTTCTTCCATGGTGATCTTGCTCTGAATGAATTTCTACAGTGCCTTTCATGCTTAACACTTGTTTTTTGCCTGACATTGTTCAATAACTGCCCTGCAAAAATTAATTTAAAAAATATTAATATTTTTAAAGAAAATTGTGGAGAAAGAATCAAGTGAAGGAGAAAATTACAGTAGAAGAAAAGATATTGCTGCACAAAAAAGCAAATTTTAGTATTATCAATTCATTGGTGACCCAAAAGTGATGTTTTCAGCAACTTATATCCTAATAGCATAGTTTGAGGTTTACATACAGTAGTTTGTTTTAGTTACATTTTAAGAAAATGGTTTTAGATTTTGAGTTGATATGTTAACATATTTTTTCCATTTAAAATAAGGAGAAATTAATTCCCGGTTGCTGTTTTCATGCAGAAATTCTGGTTTTCAGGAATGAATTATTGATGATCATAATCAGGTATCTACAAATCTATCTGTCTATCTATCTATCTATCTATCTATCTATCTATCTATCTATCTGTATTAGTCTGCTCACACACTGCTATGAAGAAATACCCAAGACTGGGTAATTTATAAAGGAAAGAGGTTTAATTGACTCATAGTTCCCCATGGCTGAGGAGGCCTCAGGAAGCTTAAAATCATAGTGGAAGACAAAGGAGAAGCAGGCACCTTCTTCACAGTGCGACAGCATGGAGTGAGTAAAAGCAGGGTTATAAAACCATCAGATCTTGTGAGAACTCACTTACTATCACAAGAACAGCATGGAGGAAACCACCACCATGACTCAGCTACCTCCACCTGGTCCTGCCTTGACGTGTGGGAATTATGGGGATTACAATTCAAGATGAGATTTGGGTGGGGACACAAAGCCTAACCATATCTTTCTGCCCCTGGCCCTCCCAAATCTCATGTCCATTTCACATTTCAAAACCAATCATTGCTTTCCATCAGTACCTCAAAGTCTTAATTCATTTCAGCATTTACTCAAAAGTTCAAGTCGAAAGTCTCATCTGGGACAAGGCAAGTCCCTTCTGCCTATGAGCCTGTAAAATTGAAAGCAAGTGAATTACTTTCTATATACAATGGGTGTACAGGTATTGGGTAAATACAAAATGGGAGAAAGTGGCCAAAATGAAAGGGCTACAAGCCCCATGCAAATCTGAAATCCAGCAGGGCAAATTTCAAAGCTCTAAAAGGATCTCCTTTGACTCCATGTCTTAAATGCAGATCACTTTGATGCAAGAGGTGGGCCCCCACGGCCTTGGTCAGCTCTGCCTCTGTGACTTTGCAGGGTACAGCCCCACTCCTGGCTGCTTTCGTGGACTGGCATTGAGTGTCTTTGGCTTTTCCAGGCACAAGGTGCACTCTGTCTGTGGTTTTACCATTCTGGGGTCTGGAGGGCAGTGGCTCTCTTCTCACAGCTCCACTAGGCAGTGCCTTAGTGGGGACTCTTTGTGGGGGCTCTGACTCTACATATGCCTTCTGCACTGCCCTAGCAGAGGTTCTTCAGGAGGTCTCTGCCCCTGCATCAAACTTTTGCCTGGACAAGCAGGCATTTCCATACATCCTCTGAAATCTAGACAGAGGTTCCCAAACCTCAGTTCTTGACATCTGTGTACCCACAGGCCCAACACCATGTGTTGGGGCTTGCACCCTCTGAAGAAATGACCTGAGCTGTACGTTGGCCTCTTTTAGCCATGGCAGGGATGCAGGGCACCAAGTCCCAAGATCGCATAAAGCAGCAAGGCCCTGGGCCTGGCCCACGAAACCATTTTTTCTCCTAGTCCTCTGGGCCTGTGATGGGAGGGGCTGCCGTGAAAGTCTCTGACATGCCCTGGAGATATTTTGTCCATTCCCTTGGTAATTAACATTTGGCTTCTCATTACACATGCAAATTTCTGCAGTTGGCTTGAATTTCTCCTCAGAAAATGGGTTTTTCTTTTCTAGCTCATCATCAGCCTGCAAATTTTCCAAACTTTTATGCTCTGCTTCCCTTTTAAACAAAAGTTCCAATTCCAAACCATCTCTTTGTGAATGCATAAAACTGAATGTTTTTAAGAGCACCCAATTCACCTCTTGAATGCTTTGATGCTTACAAATTTCTTTCGCCAAATACCCTAAATTATCTCTCTCAAGTTCAAAATTCCATAGGTCTCTAGGGCAGGGGCAAAGTGCCACCAGTCTCTTTGCTGAAGCATAGCAAGAGTCACCTTTGTTGTGGCTCCCAAAAAGTTCTTAATCTCCATCTGAGATCACCTTAGCTTGGATTTCATTGTCCATATCACTATCAGCATTTTGGTCAAAGCCATTCAACAAGTCTCTAGGAAGTTCCAAACTTTTCCACATCTTCCTATCTTTTTCTGAGCCCTCCAAACTGTTTCAATCTCTGCCTCTTACCCAGTTCCAAAGTTGCTTTCACATTTTCAGGTATCTTCATAGCAGCACCCCACTCTCTGCTGTACCAATTTACTGTATTAATTCATTATCTCACTGCTATGAAGAGATATCCAGGACTGGGTAATTTATAAAGAAAAGATATTTAATTGACTCAGCTTTGTTCTACATTGCTGGGGAGGCTTTGAGAAACTTACAATGATGGCATAAGGCAAAAGAGAAGCAGGTACCTTCTTTACAGAGTGGCAGCATGGAGTTAGTGAAAGCAGGGGAAATGCCAGACACTTATAAAACCATAAGATCTTGTGAGAACTCGCTCACTATCAGGAGAACAGCATGGGGGAAACCACCCCTGTGATTTAATAACCTCTAACTGGTCCTGCCCTTGACTTGTGATGATTACGGAGAATACAATTCAAGATAAGATTTGGAGGAAACACAAAGCCTAAACATATTATTTTCTATCTATTTAATCTAATCTGTCTATCCATCCATCCTTTGGTCTATCTACCTACCTATCATCTATTCATCTCATCTTTACAGAAATAATCAGAGGTAGCTCATAACACAGAACACATGGGAGAAGTTTTAAAAAATTATGAATATGAAAACAAAAGTCCCAGAAATAAATATGCTTAACATGAAGGCCGGTATAGTATCATCAACTATATCTCAGAGTTTCCCAATAAGAAACAAATAAAATTATTACACAGTGTGATTTCTGCCAATTTCAGGGGCAAAAAAAATCCCAATAGTAAATTTTAAATGTTATGTTTCATACAGACTTTTATATACAGGTTGATTTACAAAAATATATGCACATGATACAGATACAGCATTTAATTGTGAAGACACACAAAAACAGCCAATAGGATGCTATTGAAGCATAATTTCATAACAAAAACTTAGTGAGTGATTAAGATAATGCACACTCACGTGAAACATTATAGAATGCAAATGTAGTAGATGATGTATAATCTATTTTCCTTTTTCTTTTCCTCCTTCCCTTCTTTCCTTCCTTCTTTTCTCTCTTTCTTCTTTCCTTACTCTCTCACTCTCTCTTTCTACTTATCTCTAATTACTACTATTTCTCATAATGAAGTTTTGGTAAAAGTTTGTCACCAGATAATAGAAATGTAACTTATTTGATTAAAGAAAATGATGCTGACATGCCATGTGATTGGCTGGGGCAAAAAAAATCAACATTTAGGAAGTTAGACATTATTGGCACTTAATCCAACTATGATTTCCTACACATTCTTCAGTGAAAGACTTTCTTCCTTCCTTATGCTTCTTCATGAATGATTTCGCATAACCATGAAATTTAATAGGTAATCAACAAATATTTCTTAATTCACTAAATACAAGGAAATCCTCCATCCTGGATGAGAAATGATGCCTAAAGCCTTCTTAGCAATTCATTACCTGAGCCAATACCCAGCTGATGTTACTGCATCAAAAAGACATTGAAGTCCTCTTGATAACTTAGCTCTTACGGTAACAAAGTTTGATCAAAAAGAGAACCAAAAAAGAAAATGGTGTAAAGACTAACTTATCTGCTGATCACCATTGCACAGCCTCAGGCACATCATGTACATTTCACAGCTAGAATATTTGTAAGCCCTGCCTTTGCTTTTCATTATTGAGACGGTCTATACATGATCGAGCTCCCTTTTCTCTGTATCAATTTTGCTATTTTCTAAATAAATTTCTGAGTTATTCTTTTGGAGAATTACACAAATTACACATATACGTACAAATGCAAATATACATACATTAACACCTCTATGTACACACACACTAAGTGCCTGACCTAACTAGTGGGTGCTTATTAAACAAGCAGCTGTTGTTGTTGTTGCTCTTTTATTATCCTTCTACAATCATTTTACTGAAAAAACAGCAAGAATCTTCCCCAAGCTGAGGTCTATGAAGCCTTAAGCAAAATATACAGAAGGCCAATTTCTTAGAACCACATTGTCCCAAACAAGTATATCACAGCTACATTTTTCCTCATGCAAAGGAAAGTTATGTGTTACTATGAACTGAAAGTTTGAATCCCTTAAAAATTCACATGTTGAAATCCTAACCCCCAAATACGATGCTATTAGCAAGTGGAAACTTTGGGAGGTAATTAGGTCATGAGGGTGGAGACCGCATGAATGAGATTAATACCCCTATTAAAATGTACAAGGGAATTTACTTCTTATCCCTCTGCTCTCCCCCATGTGGGGATACAGTGAGAAGATGGCCATATGCAAGCCAAGAAGCAGGCCCTCACCGGACACCAGATCTGTTGGCATCTTGATCTTAAAGTTCCAGACTCCAGAAACTGTGAGAAATAAATTTCTGTTGTTTAAGCCACTCAGCATATGGCATTCTGATATAGAAGCCTCGTCTGATTAAGACATGCTCTGAATTTTTTTCCAAATAAGATAAAAAAATCTGAAACCATCCATAAAAAACAAGTCATAATAGTTTCAGAAGTTAAATGTGTCTTATATCTTGCATAAATGGAATCAGATTTGTGCCAGGTCATTAAATTAGCCACGATCAGGGATTAGAATCCACAGAATTAGAGCAAAATGTGGGGAATGTACCCTGAGGCTACAGAGGATGTGAAAGATGGGAGGTGAGATAATTCCATGTTTCTATGGGGAAGCCAGCCTCCAAATATCAGGAAACCACATGCCACCACAACACACACACACACACACACACACACACACACACACACACGTGTTTAGAACTGGGATGGGACAAGATATACGATGAAGAAATAGGTAAACAGCAAATAGTAGAAGGTACTGACCTGACAGTGTGCCTGAAACATCAATACGTGCAACAGCTTATTTCACTGGGTTCTCTGAGGCATGTGTAGTAAGTTTAGGCAGTGTATTTAACCAGAATAAAAGCAAAATAAAAGATTCCCTCAATATATTTGACACTTAACTCCTATAATTTTTTTTTCTATTTTGACCCTCTATAATGGAATTGGGACTAGTTCTACCTCTATCCATTTATCTTAATTATTTGAGAAACACTAAGACACTGTGGACAGAAATAAAAAGTCACTTTCTTCCTTACATAATGCCTCTTGAAGCCATCCCCATGTGATGTCTCTGCCACGCTGATTGGTCCTACTTTAACACTTCTCCCTACTCCCATATGGCTTCTCTTTTCACTGCAGACACTGAGCTGTGTACAAATATCCATCTGGATTTAGGCCAGAAGCATGATAAATTACTGCCTAACTTGCCTACCGCTCTCTTCTTTTTTTCTATTTCTTCTAACCTGAGCTCTTAACCTATCACTAGAAAGGAACGAAGAGATAGAGGCCACTGGTGAATTTTGCATTTCATAAATCTCGTAACCCAGGCCAGGCTCCTCTGTCCCATCTGATTATTCAGGCAGAGGAACTCTATGAATCAAACATTCTTTCTTCTGGGTTGGGTCCCTGAGGGCTACACATGGTACAGCCCTTTGCTTTCCAGGACAGCCAGCACAAAGGAATGCTGCCCAAGAGGAAGGCTCTTTGTAGCCAACTTGTCACCTTTCCTCACACAGCACAGTTTTCAGACACAGAGTTCAGGGGACAGGCTATCCAGGGTAACCAGATTTGTTCCAAGAAACAAAGCCATGCCTTTGTTTGCTCTGATTATTCCAGGGAATGGAAAATATTTGCATTTGTTGAGAAGAAAAATATGACAAAAACAAGTTTTGTACTTTTTAGCATACTATACATAAAAATGTTATTATATGTTTGTTAGAGCACCCTACCCTCTGAGGAAAGTGGGTAAATGGGGCTGTCATAATTTTGGTATTTCAATAGATGAGAAACTGGAACCATTGAAAGATTAAATAATTGTATCATCATGACATACCTCTAAGCAGGGAGCCTGTGACTAGATTCCCAAACCAAGCACTCTCTTCACTGTACCACATTGCCCACATTTGCCAATCAGAAACTTGGAAATTGTCTGTATGCTTCTACGGCCAAGCGCTTCCCCTTCCCCTCCCCCTCCCCCTCTCCTTCTTTTCTTTCTTTCTTTTTTTTTTTTTTTTTTGAGATGTAGTCTCACTCTGTCGCCCAGGCTGGAGTGCAGTCAGTGGCACAATGTCCTCACTGCAACCTCTGCCTCCCAGGCTCAAGAGATTCTCTCCTGGCTCAGCCTTCTAAGTAGCTGGGATTACAGGCACCAGCCACCATGGCTGGCTAATTTTTTTTGTATTTTTAGTAGAGATGGGGTTTCACCATGTTAGCCAGGCTGGTCTCGAACTCCTGACCTCAAATGATCTGCCTGCCTCAGCCTCCTAAAGTGCTAGGATTACAGGTGTGAACCACTGTGCCCGGCCTGGCCAAGTTATTTTCTTGATTGAAACTCATTCTGTATCTATTTTCATTTTATGAAATAAAATTAACAACCATGAAAGAAGTAAACAGTGTCACAATTGTCTCTCTCCCCTTGCTTCTCTCTGCAACCTTGTAGCAACTACCCTTCCATCTTCATTCACAAGAAAGAAACAAACAGCATTTACCTTCCTCAAAATAGAATCAAATTATCAAGGAAAATATTCTTCAATCACAAGGAACAGTCTTCCTAAGAACACCAGGCACACAATAACTATAAAAAAAGTGTACATCAGTAGGATGGCTTTCTTACCCTGATGAGCATCTTCCACCCTTCTGCCCCACTCTGGGAATAATTAAGTCGCTAATGAGCAAGGAATTGATACAGACAGGAGGCAGGGAAATACTGGGTAGAAGAGTGAAGTTCTACCAGCAAAGGCCCCACCCACAAGCCTGGGCTCACACCCATAAATGAGAACTTCACATCCCTGTATTCCTGCCCGAATGTTGCTTTTTCCAAAACCACCCTGGCTTGCCACGCCCCCCATCCTGCCCTTAAAAACCCCAAACTCCACTGGCAGAGGAGCAGGGTGGCATGGCAGAGAAGGAGAAAAGAAAGGAATCATCTGAATGTTGAAGAGGCAGCTGGATGGCTGGAAAAGAGTTCAGCTGGGGATGGCCAAACTCTAGGAGAAGATTATCTTCCCACGCCATCCCCTTTCCAGCTCCCTATCCTGCTGAGAGCCATCTCCATCACTCAATGAAACCTCTGCATTCAATGACCTTTAAGTCCATGTGACCCGATTCTTCCTGGATGCTGGACAAGGACCCAGCAACCAAGAGGGCAGAGTGTAAAAGGCTGTCACCCTGACTCTCCGTTAACACTTCACCATCTGTGGACGGCAACCGCTAAAAGAGCATTAATTGTAACACACCTCTAGACACTACAGCAGGGCTGGAGCCCAAAAGCACTCACCCAGGCCCTGGCATCCACTCGCCTGTGTGCTCCCCATCCCTCAAGGGGTTTGAGTACAGTGGCCCAGTAAGCAAGCCACACCCCTGCTGCAAGTCCCACAAAGGGGTCCGGGGAACTCTCCTGTCTCAGAATTACTTCTGTGCCATGCAGACAGGTTTTAGACAATTATTCTGTAAACTTTTAGAAAAGAAGTGTTAGAAATCAGTTCTCATATTCTAAGAACCTGATATCTAAACTCAACTAGTAAAATGCACGCTGCATAGAATCTGCGTGGTCACCAACCAAGATTCTTGTTAGACAACGATTTGGAGGCACAGTGATGCGTATCTGACATATTCCTCTCTGGATCCACTCTCTGTACTTCTCAGTCCCACTCTGTGAGTAGGGGACTGACTACATGAATTTCTCAACAGGCCCTTCAGACCTCTGCTTCTGTTTATGTTTGTCCAAGGAGAGGCATCAGCAAGAAATCAGAGGACAGGAGGAGACAGAGAGGTGGCATTTATTTCTGCATCTTCCTGTGGGAATCCCTCCACCAATGTTATTAACTCCTATCAGAAGCCTCTCTAGCATCTCTTTCTTTCTCTCTCTCTCTCTCTCTCTCTCTCTCTCCACCCCTTCCCTCCCTCTCTCTGTCTCTCTCTCCCTCCCTCTCCCTGGTAACTGCTGTTTTCTCTCTGTTCTTCAGGCCTAGGGGTAGTAAAAATGATATTTCGTGTTATAATCCCCAGGTAATTTAACTCCCAATTCATACCTTTGTAAATAGTCCTTATACTAAAGTCTTCTCAAGTTAATCTAACTTGTGTGTGCACTCTGTTTCCTGTTGGCATTCTAATATAGACCAGTTATTCTACTCTAAACTTCTTCTTTGTTTACAAAATGGGACTAAAAATATTTACCTCGTATGACTCTCATAAGAAGCAAACTTTGCAGTCTATAAACAAAAAATTGACAAGGACTAATTGTCTGCCAAGCAGTTAACTAGGCTCTAGAAATAAAGCAGTAAATAACAAAACAAGTTACATTGGTTGTATATTGCTATGTAACAAACCACCCCTCAAATTTCACAGCTTAAGACAATGATTTACTCATGAATATGTGAGCCAGCAATTTGGGCTTGATACAGGTGGGTCGTTTTTCAGCTGAGCTCTCATAGAACTACTCGTGTGGTAGCAAAAAGCTGGCAGCTGGATGGGGGCCGGATAGTCTAAAATGACCTCACTTATGTACTGGCTCTATCTCCATGTGGTCAGTCGTCTTTCAGGAAGTTAGTGTAGGCTTCTGGTTTAAGTTCCAAGAGAGTGGGAGCAGATGCTACAAAGCGTCTTAAGACCTAAATTCAGAACTCTTAAAATGTTACATCAATGGCATTCCATTAATCAAAGGAAGTCAGAAGGCCAGCATAGATTCAAGCAGCTGAAGAAGCAGACTCCGTCTACTCTTAAAGGGAGCAGCAAAATCATATTGCAAAGAAGTGTGCATCCTGGGCTGGGAGAAATTTGCAGCCATGTTTTGCAATTACTGCACAAGTTTCTTGACTTCATAGAACATATCTGTTATGAAAAATACCTGTGTATAACACATAAATGTTTTCATTTACTCAACCAAGATGTATTGAGAACAATGCATTGGGTGCTTGGTATATATTGAACCATAGTAGTTAATCACAATAAAAATGAATAAAAATGTTCACCACCAATGGGCTGGTTTATCTCCAATTGTGGTCAGAAATTATTGGTCAGAAAAATCCTCCTTGCAGCCAAAATCCTAAGGCCTACACTTCACACTAGCAAGATATTCATTTGATTATGCCAATAATTATATCTCTCTTCTTTCTTGCTGTTAACACTACTGCTACTTCCTGATTCCAAATATAAGGTCTCAACCCCATGTTTATTCATATCCAGCAAATTCGTGTTGGGATTTTGTACCCTCTCGCTCCCATTACAGTTCCATAGGTTTACATGGACAACTGGGGATCATCAGCAGAAGACCACCATGTTCCCCTATATTCATTCTTCTTATGAGAACTTTACACAGTGGCAAGCTCATCCGAGGAGTCCTTGTGCCATTACTCCACTAAATATCTTATTAATAATTAGAGACTTTTAAGAATGATCCCTAATCACCATTTTGTATGTGAAAGAGCAAGCCAAACAGGAAGTAACTGGGTTCCCCCAAATAATGAATTGCCTTACTGTGTGGTTGTATTGGATGCTATTAATGACCTCTACCATGTATGCTCTCTATTCTGTTCCAACTCTCAGCTCACACTGATATCTATCAATATTGTCCTCTAGCTGCCTCCCAAAGTGAATTGGTTCAGAACAGTTGTGGAGAATAGAGACACAAGGCACAGCTCCAAGGACACTACTTTAGATACCCCTTGTTCCTACTAAATGATCACATTTGTTTAACATATCTCACGGTCACATCATTTTAGAGATCCTACCTTTATCCAAAAGCCTGGTATGCCCCAGGCCTTCGTGTTTTTCATTTTTCCAATCCTTCTGTGTAGAAATGTTTTAAGGTAGGTGGAAAACTCCTTCATGTCCTCGAAGTCCTAGAACAAATAAAAACTCTTCTCTGAAGCTATACTCTATTTACTTAGTCTAAGGTGATTCATTCAACATATTGAATAACGTAGAATTTGGTGTGCACATCAACCATTGTCATATCCTGTCACTTTTATTTTTATAAATGTCTTTTTTTCTTCACTGAGAAGTCATCTCTTAAGAAAAGAGATTTTTGTTTCAATGTTTTCTCTGTATCAGTGCCTGACTCAACATGAATGTCCTGTGTTGAACGAGATTACAATTCATTTTAAGTTTGATTTTAGCTTCATATCTAATTTACCAAGGTCTCTATCCAATATTTCCATAATAGCTTTTGGGCTAGAGATATTCGGTTCTCCACTTGGACGTAATCAGCTCATTCCATTAAACATGAAACCAATCTAGAATAGCTGCTCTAAGAAATTAAACTCTACCACTTCTCATTCAAATAAAAAAAATCCTAGAAACTCTGCAGTCTTCAAGGGGGCTATTCACATATATACGTGTGTTTTTTAATGAAGAAAAATAATTGCTTTTCTTAATTAGTCCCACATAGCTGAGTCTGCCACTGCTAAATACATGGCTATATTACTTTAGTGCTTGTGTGTCCGGAATTGGTGGGTTCTTGGTCTCACTGACGTCAAGAATGAAGCCGCCGACCCTCACAGTGAGTGTTATAGTTCTTAAAGACGGTGTGTCCGGAATTTGTTCCTTCTGATATTCGGACATGTTCAAAGTTTCTTCCTTCTGGTGGGTTTGTGGTCTCACTGGCTTCAGATCTTCACAGTGAGCGTTACAGTTCATAAAGGCAGTGTGGACCCAAAGAGTGAGCAGCAGCAACATTTATTGTAAAGAGCTAAAGAACAAAGCTTCCAAGCTGTGAAACCGGACCCCAGCTGGTTGCCACTGCTGGCTCGGGCAGCCTGTTTTTATTCCCTTATCTGGCCCCACCCATATCCTGCTGATTGGTCCATTTTACAGAGAGCTGATTGGTCTGTTTTACAGAGAGCTGACTGGTCCATTTCAACAGGGTGCTGATTGGTGCACTTACAATCCCTGAGCTAGACACAGAGTGCTGACTGGTGCATTTACAATTCTCTAGCCAGACATAAAAGTTCTCCAAGTCCTCACCAGATTAGCTAGATACAGAGAGCTGACTGGTGCATTTACAAACCTTGAGCTAGACACAGGGTGCTGATTGCTGCGTTTACAAACCCTGAGCTAGACACAGAGTGCTGATTGGTGTGTTTACAAACCTTGAGCTAGACACGAAGTGCTGATTGTTGCATTTATAATCCTCCAGCTAGACATAAAAGTTCTCCAAGTCCCCACCAGATTAGCTAGATACAGAGTGCTGATTGGTGCATCCATGAACCCTGAGCTAGACACAGAGTGCTAATTGGTGCATTTACAGTCCTCTAGCTAGACATAAAAGTTCTCCAAGTCCCCACCGGATTAGCTAGATACAGAGTTCTGATCGGTGCATCCACAAACCCTGAGCTAGACACAGAGTGCTGACTGGCGCATATACAATCCTCCAGCTAGACATAAAAGTTCTCCAAGTCCCCACTTGACTCAGGAGTCCAGCTGGCTTCGCCTAGTGGATCCCGAGCCAGGGCCGCAGACAGAGCTGCCCGCCAGTCCTGTGCTGTGCGCCTGCACTCCTCAGCCCCTGGGCAGTCAATGGGACAGGGTGCCGTGGAGCAGGCGGTTGGCGCCTGGTGGGGAGGCTCAGGCTGTGCGGGAGCCCACTGCAGGGGGGCTTGGGCCTGGCGGGCTGCAGGTCCTGAGTCTTGCCCCTCAGGGAGGCCACTAAGGCCGGTTGAGAATTCAAGCACGGTGCAGGTGGGCCAGCAGTGCTGGGGGACCCGGCGCACCCTCCGCAGCTGCTGGCCCGGGTGCTAAGCCCCTCACTGCCCGGGCTGGTGGAACTGGCCGGCCGCTCCGAGTGCTGGGCTTGCCGAGCCCTTGCCCGCCCGGAACACAGAACTCATGCTGGCCTGTGAGCACCAAGAGCAGCCCTGGTTCCTGCTGGCGCCTCTCCCTCCACACCTCCCCACAAGCATAGGCTCCATCCTTGGGCCAGCACAGAGAGGGGCTCCCACAGTGCAGCGGTGGGCTGAAGGGCTCCTCAAACATGGCCACAGTGGGCACCGAGGCCAAGGAGGCACTGAGAGCCAGCGAGGGCTGCCAGCACGCTGTCACCTCTCACTTGGATAAAAGTAAAAAAAACCTCTGAGTTTCTAATCTACCTTTCTAATAAGGGTGAGGGTTTCTTCTTTTTTTTTTTTTTTTGTTTTTTTGTTTTTTTGAGATGGAGTCTTGCTCTTTCACCCAGGCTGACTGCAGTGGTGCTATCTCGGCTCACTGCAAGCTCTGCCTCCCGGGTTCACGCCATTCTCCTGCCTCAGCCTCCCGAGTAGCTGGGATTACAGGTGCCCGCCACCATGCCCAGCTAATTTTTTGTACTTTTAGTAGAGATGGGGTTTCACCATGGTAGCCAAGATGGTCTCGATCTCCTGACCTCGTGATCCACCTGCCTCAGCCTTCCAAAGTGCTGGGATTACAGGTGTGAGCCACCGCACCTGGCCAAGGGTTTCATTTTTTAAAAGGCCCAAACAATGGGAGTATTTCGAATAGAATATTTAATATTAGGGTTCTAAGATGCTTCTCACAAAGCCATTCTGATTTGAAGGCAGATGTAGTCTAAGAAAAAAAATCCTCATCCAATTTCCCTTTGTCAAACTTCTTTGTAAAATATATTTAACTGTAAACAAAGGGGAAAACAGACATTAAATAGAGGAACAAAGACTGAGATGTATATTGTTTATCCAAGAATTCATTCATTCAACAAATTCCTTGAAATAATCTACTAGAAAGTAAAGAGAAAGAAAATCTACTTTAAAAAATAGAATTAAACTCATTTATTTTGCAATTACCATATACATCCATTAGATTCTTTTATATATCTAAGATGCATTGTTAGATAGTATAGATGTTATTTTTATTTTATTTTATTTTATTTTGAGATGGAGTCTCGCTCTGTCGCCCAGGCTGGAGTGCAGTGGTGTGATCTCTGCTCACTACAAGCTCTGCCTCCCAGGTTCACGCCATTCTCCTGCCTCAGTCTCCCAAGTAGCTGGGACTACAGGTGCCTGCCACCACGCCTGGCTAAATTTTTTTTTAATTTTTAGTAGAGATGGGGTAGATGTTATTTTTAATGTTAGATCCTATTGATCTATACCAGTAATCTTATTTTTCTTATATCTTACAACAGTTTGCTATTTCATCAGTCTAGTAATTATTTTATCATTACTCATATTGATATTTATCCTCAATTATACAATTAAAAAACTTTAAAAAATGATGGCCTTGACTAGAAAGATGATACAATAATGACTAAATCATTGATATTATATCATCCTTCAGTTTTCTTAATGCCCAAGGTATTGCATCATCTTTCAAGACATTTTACAAGACTAGAGAACTTATTTTTATAGCCTGCTTTTAGCTTTCAATAAATGCAGTTGAATACTGAATTGAATACTGAATTCTTTTTTCCATAACAGAAAAAGAAAATTGATGAAGCAATATGCTTTACAATTATTAGATAAATCAGATGAATGCAAAGAAACTGATAGTGAAATTGATTGCATAAGTGAAATTTCAGACTGGTCTTCAGATGATGATGTGCTAGATAAATTTCCCAAACTCAAGAATTTATGAGTAAACACCATATTTCTAAAGACAAAAAGGGATAATAGACATTCAATACTAGTACGTATTTTGTCACAAGGATCTGGACCATCCCTTCTTGTTAAAAGGCCGTGGGACATCATTCTCATATTGTTCATGATGTTTGTGTGCCAAAATATGATTAATGCAAAGTGGTTTGCTATATTTAAATCCTTGTTCAAATTTCTAATAATGCTATTTTCTACTGCTCTGTAATTCTTCTGTAAATTATAAAATGATTTAAAAATACTAAGACTGAAAAGTATATAGGGTATCAAAATGGTAGACAGGAATAATTATTTTTCCTAACATCCAGAGTCTAAAGTGTTTATTTATTGTTTCTGGTTTTTTTTGCAATTAATTTTTCCTGCAGTGGTGTTCAGTCATCTCATTGTATTTTAAGTTACTTTGAATAGAAATTAAAGTTAATGTGCATTTAGTTTTGATTTTTAGAATTTCTTTTAAGTTTTTATTTTGTTATATAATTATATATAATATCTGCATGACTCTACATTCAAATCAACAAATAAAAAATGTTTAGAGTCTATCTCCATTCCCTCTGCTCTATTTCTTTTCTAATCCTGTAAATAAACATATAAAATAAGCAATTATCTCTTTTTTAAAATATAAGCACACATTTTAAATATAATATACTTTATGCTTTAATATAAGTGTGCATATTAATGGTCCCTCTTTCTTGCATAACAAACCCATAGATTATATAACAGTGATCGATTTTTGTATAATAAACCATTCCAAACATAGTGGCTTGAAATAGCAATCATTTATTTGTTCATGCCAGTTGTTGGCTTGACCTCTCATTCCATGTATTGTTTCATCCTCACGGAAATTAACCCAGGCTTTTTTACGTGGTAGACTCAGGGTAGTAAGCAAGAACAAAAGCTACCATGCCTTTTGAGAGTTAGACTCAGAAGCTTCACAACATTGGCCCTAGTGCAGTTTATTGGTTGAAGCAACCTCCAAGGCAAGCCCAGATTCACAGCATGGAGAAAAAAATTTTACCTCTTAATCAAAGGAGCAGCAAAACACATTGCAAGGAACATGAATACAAAGACAAGAAGCAACTTGGTGGCCACCTTTATAGATGATCTATCAGAGTTGAGGTAGAAATTAAAATAAAAGTTAAGACTATCTGATCTGTTCTCAAGGTCAGTCTTCGTATCTGTGAAAAAGTAAAGCAACTCATTACTACGAGGAGGCAATGAATATCCTGGACTCCAGTCAACCATATTAAGGACTAGTCTGCCTTTTGGAGGCAAGGAGTGTGGAAAAGGAGGCAGAGATTCACCATGCGAATGGACTTGTTTGCTGCCTACCCAAAATTTGTTTGTGTTCTTCGAAATAGAATTGCAGTTTTCTGCAGATGACCCTTTTCCCCCATGAGATTTGGGTAAAGTGACCCAAACTCTACTTACTCCAAGTTAATTAGTGAAAGGTATTTTTATAGTAATGCTTTCTCATCCAGCAGTGCTTTCGAGACATAAATTGGCCTAATCAAACTTAGGGAAAGTGTGTACATACAATTACCGGCTAGACACGAAAAAATAATTTCTTGATCACAGATTCTTCTGTAAATTATTTTAACATCATAAAGAAAACCAGCCTTAGATCAAACCAATACTAAGCATAGAAAATTGCAAAGACAATAAAAATCCAGCTCCTTGATGACATTCTAAAGTCTGTCTTCTTTTCCACACCTGGAATCTGCCTTGTTGGATTTCTAGTTATGCAAGATTTAAATGTCTTTGTACTTAAACCAGGTTAATATTTTTATCATTTAACTTTGGATTTTGCTAATGCTTGCACAGGAATTTGAATTTAAAAAATTATTTTAATATTAATGGCATCACATTGATGCCACCTCTGCTGCCAATCATCAGTGAGGAAGGCACTATAATTTCCAATCCTATTCTAAGGATAAAGAAACCAATGCTTAGAGAATTTGAATGAAATGGAATGATATAACGACTGAAACAGTATGTTAGACGCAGTCCAGAGCTCATAGTAGAGACTTGGTAAAGTTAGTTTCAGGAAGAAACTCCCTTTTCCCAAGGGCTTTACTGCACCATATCTAGCCCACAATCTTACTGCCAAAACTTTGCAGAGTCAGGATTTGAATTCAAGTTCTACAGTGTCCCCACTGTGCTACAGTGCTTTGTAGCTGGTCTTTGTCTCAGAGACTATTTGGTGAGATCAAACTTTTAAAGGAACCAGTGCTTTGAGACAAGAAAAATATTTTTGAGCATTAGAGTATAGATGTTTCTCAATTTACAATGAGGTTACATTCCAATAAACCCATGGTAAAATGAAAATGTAAGGTAAAAATGCACTTAATATATCTAAACTACTGAACAGTATAGCTTAGCCTAGCCTACTTTAAACATACTCAGAACACTTACATTAGCCTACAGTTGAGCAAAATCACATAGCACAAATTCCATTTTATAACAAACTGTTGAGTATCTCATGTAACTTATTGAATATTGTACTGAAAGTGAAAAACAGAATGGTTGGATGGGTGCTTGAACGACAGTTTCTACTGAATAGGTATTGCTTCTGTATCATCATAGAGTCAAAATTATAAGTCATACCAGCTTAAATCAGAGACTATCTGTGTTCTTCTAGAAGCGTAGGCCTATGAAAAGATGCTTTTATGGACAACATAAGGGTAATATGTGTGTAGGGATAAATAAGATAGTAGGGTTCTTTCATATTGTAATATAATAAGAAATATACATATTTGGTCTTCATCCTCAATTCTTTGCACAGAGCTCCTAAAATCTTGTAATTTTCTGAGTGATAGGGGTAATAGGAGCATCTTATATTATTAATAATAAGGTCCTTTCTACATGCCTGATTTTATGCTGACAACTTGACTCTTGGTGGGCTCCTATATAGTTTCTAGATGGGGTTAATTGCAAGAGGAACCAACAATGTGGTTAGAAAGTTGAAACATTCAGCCTACCCCTGATCTCTGAGAGAGGAAAGGGGTTGGGGATAGTATTCAATCATGAACGGCCAATGATTTAATCAATCATGCCCCCATTATGGAGCCTCCAAAAAAAACCCTAAAGGATGGAGTTCAGAAAGTTTCTGGGTTGATAAAACTCACACCGGAAGGTGGCACATTCAATTCCTGTGCTTCAGCAAGAAGCTTCTCTGCTCAGGACTTTCCCGGACCACACCATATATAACTCTTCTTCTGGGTATTCATTAGTGTCGTTTATAATATTGATGAGGTTTGGCCATGTCCCCACTCAAATCTCATCTTGAATTGTGGCTCCCATGATTCCCATGTGTCATGGGACGGACCCGGTAGGAATTGGTTGAATCATGGAGGCGGGTTTTCCCATTTCTCGTGATAGTGAATGAGTCTCATGAGATCTGATGGTTTTATAAAGGGCAGTTCACCTGCGCACACTCTCTTGCCTGCCATCATGTGAGGTGTGACTTTGATTCGCCTTCACCTTCCACTATGATTTTGAGGCCTTCCCAGCCATGTGGAACTGTCAATCAAGTAAACCTCTTTCCTTTATAAATTACCCAGTCTCTGGTATGTCTTTATTAGCAGTGTGAGAACAGAATGATACAAACATCCTTTATAATAAATCAGCAACAGTAAATGGAGTGTTTCCCTGAGTTCTGTCAGCCATTGTACAAAATTATTAAACCAAAGAAGGGCATCATGGGATCCTCCAATTTTGTGGCCTAGTTGGACAGAAGTGTGGATATCCTGGGCACTTAATACTTCATTTGGCATCGGAAGTGGGACAGTGTTTAAACTGCGGGGTGGTTACTAACTTGAGTTAATGTCAGAATTGAATTAAATTGTAGTGCACTCACTTGGTGTCTGGAAAGTCAGATAATTCATTGGTGTCGGGGAGGAAATAACCCTGCATGTTTTGTATCAGAAATATTATGAGTAGAAATAGATCACAGAGTGACCTAAAAGAGAGCACTGATTTTGGCATTAGATTTCCAAATTTTGGCATCTCAAATTCTCTTCTGTCATGTTGACTTATGTCGCCCAGAAAACATACTCATATATAACACAGAATTAACAATATCTAACTAGTAAGCTCAAGAAAAGATTAAATGACATTTTATAGAAAGTACCCCGCACCGGACATGCTTTCTGTTTGTTTGGTACTCCATCAGTGTTCCTGTAAACACATACCCTGGCTGAGTTTTGGCCTGAGATTTTAAAATTCTGGTTAGAAGGCTTTGTGTGTGTATGCGCGCACATGCGCATGTGTGTGTGTGTGTGTGTGTCTGTGTGTGTGTGTATTTGGAAGTAGATACTGATGTACACCTAGATGTATTTTTTTCTGCTTTTTAAATAACAATGTATTTTACTTTTGGGGCAACACTTTCATTTTCTTATAGGAATAGGAGAGATTCTGTTTGTTTGCTTATGCAATAGTAAAGCAAAGCAAAAAGCAAAGAAGAAATCCGAGATAATGAATGGTTAGATATACAGAATAATGTATTTTTTTAGGAAAAAAAAAGTTTCTTTTTTAAAAATGTGTTAAACTACTTTGTCCCCCAACAAACATGCTAATTCTTGGGAGATATACATGAGCTAGCTGTTGTTACTCACAGAAGGCTTGGCACGGAGACTTGTGATGGCAGGAGATGCACAGAGGCACATCCTCATCCCTTCTGCAGAGAACCTGGTAGGGAAGAATGAAGCCCAGTCTATTTATTCCACTGATGTCTTCTCTGTGTTATTTTCCCAGATTCGATAACTTAGGGACACTGTTCTGCAGGTAGAGTGAGTTGTTTTGATGAAGATAGTTGAAATTTTCTGTCAACTGCCAGCCGGGCATAGTGGCTCACTCCTGTAATCCCAGAACTCTGGGAGGCCAAGGCAGGCGGATCACGAGGTCAGGAGATCGAGACCATCCTGGCTAACACAGTGAAACCCCGTCTCTACTAAAAATACAAAAAATTAGACGGGCATCGTGGCAGGCACCTGTAGTCCCGGCTACTCAGGAGGCTGAGGCAGGAGAATGGTGTGAACCCGGGAGGTGGAGCTTGCAGTGAGCCGAGATTATGCCACAGCACTCCAGCCTGGGCAACAGAGACAGACTCCATCTCAAAAAAAAAAAAGAGAGAGAAAGAAAAAGAAATTTTCTGTGAACCATCATGGAAAGGGCAAATATTTAAGGAGGATGTTAAGGCTCAAACTATAATCCACTAAAGCAGGACAGGTTCAAAGCATTTCCATTCATTCTGGCTTTTATTCATTCAATAAACATTTATTGAGCAGCTATTTTGCACCATTCACTACTCAGATGTTTGGAATATAGCAGTGAGCAAGTTCCCTCTGCACAGAGTTTCCACTTTAGTTGGAATAAATGTAAGTAATAATCATTACTGTGAAAAAAACAGGTTCTATGATCAAGGAAGGCCCCTCTGAGAGGGTGGCATTTGGGCTGATGTATGAATAACATGAAGAGGCTCTTCATGCTGTGGAAAATAGAATAATGGCTTCAACAAAGATATTCACACACTCATCTCCAGAACCTGTTAATATGTGACCTTACATGGTAAAAGGGAATTTGTGAATGTTATTAAAGTTAAGGACCTTGAGATGGAGGGATTATCTTCAATGATCCACACGGACCCAATCTAATCATTGAGTCTTCAGAAGTGGTAGAGGAAAAGTAGATCAGACAGATGTGATGTGGTAAGTTCTAGACCCACCATTATTTGCTTTAAAAATGGAAGAAAGAAGCCAGGAATCAAGAAGTATAGTGGCCTCCGGAAGCTTGGAATGACTCTTGACTGATAGTCAGCGAGAACATGGGGACATCTACCCTACAGGAGCAAAGAACTGAATTCTGGCAACAAACCTAATGGGCATGAAATGGACTGTCCCTTAGAGCCCCCAGAAAGGAATGCAGCCCTGCTGGCTACCTGATTTTAGTTTGGTAAGATCTGTACTTGACTTCTAACCTATAGAATTGTAAGATAAAATAGTTTAACACATTTTTAAAAAATAAATAGTTTTTTTCCTAAAAAAAAATACATTGTAATTGTATGCTGTTTGAAGCCATGAAATCCATGGTAATTTGCTATAGCAGGAGCAGAAAACTAATGCACATGCAAAGATGAGAAGGACCTACATTTCAAACTGTAGAAACAGTAATTCACAAATCCTAGTGTGACTGAGGTGGACAGTGCTAATCAGGACAGATTTTTTGCCATGTGTAGGCATTCCTTAGAATTCTCAGAAGTATTTGAAGAAAGAAACTTGGTAAAGGTATCTAATGCCTTGCAGCCAAGTGGAGTGCAGATTTAGACTATTGTGAATTGGAAAAACAAAAGAATTACCATGCAAATTTGTGAAATCTGGGTATTTGGGTTTTATTTTCAACCTTTTGTACCTAGAATGACAGAGAGCCTCTCAGATAACGGTTTGCTATAGGGAAAGCACTAGAGTTCTGGGATAGAGATCTTAGCAATATAATAAGGAGCCAGCCTGAAGAGTCTATTCGTGAAAAACATTGGATAAAAGGAAATAGATGAAGTTATCACTCCATCAGTGTAGCACTACAGCTAGAGGAGCCCTGGCAGAGCAGTCATCTGACAATAAATGAAGAGAGAACAGGGGAGCGGGTAATCTTGGTAGGGCAGAAGAGGGCTGTTTATGGTCCTAAAAGATCTTATTTTATTGCAAGAAAGAGAACAACCTTTCTCAGGGAAGATGCCATTAGCTTTTCCATAGGGGACACTGACCCAGGTAATTTAACCACCTTTCAGAAGCAATCTCTCTGCTTTTCTATTTTACTGTGTTTCATTTCAAATCTTCTCTTTTTCTCTAAATTGCCTAACCAACTGCAAACACGTCTTGGGAAAAGGGGAGAGTGAATGCTGGCCTGTACCCTGACTTCTACTAGTGTGTGGCTCCTTTCCTGCTCTGACAAACTGCACATTTCATATTGGCCCACTGGCAAATGATCAAAGTGAAAAGCTATTTGCAAGTGGGAAGCACCCTGGCTGTCATTACTAACCAAGGGCCAAGGCAGATGGGATCTGTGCAGGGGTACAGAGAGGGAAATAAGGAGACAAGGGAAGGGAGTGAGGACACTGATTGTTGAGGAGGGAGCTGTGATGTATAGATAAAAAACTCAGGTAGCAAAACTGCATACACTTCCCGGGTCACAGATGACAAAGCTATCTGGGACAGCACAAGTGTCCCAGAGTCACAACACCTGATTTTGAATGCTTGTACTGCCATATTTTAGCTGTGTGCTCAATGATTAATGTAACCTATGCATCTTAGTTTCAGTCTTTTGTACCTATTGAAATAGTTTGATGATCCCATGATATTGTACATGAAAAGCTAGGCACTTAAGTGCACTCAGTAAATATTTAATATTAGCAGACGCTGTTACTAATCCTGATATGTATTTTTAAAGGGTGGCTGAGTTCTAAAGGACTTTTAAATACTTTGCTACAACAAGAAAATGAACAGAAACATGCACCCCCACTCAGAGGAGACACATCACAGAATCAACAAATGTCAGAGCTACAGGGTACTTTAGGGATTATGGAATTCAATCCCCCTAATTGACAGACTAGAAAATTGAAGTCCAAAATGTTTTGAGATTTGTTCAAGGTTACAAAGCAAATAAGGGACTTGGCAGGCACTTGAAAGCAGTCCTGTGTCACTCTAATTCCATAACTGTCTAGTCAAACAATGTTTGTTGGATTGTATACTTGATTGGAAATCATTGCCTTTCATGATTCATAAGACTGAGGCCATAGAAATCATATACATGCTCCCACCATCTCACACTGCATTTTACCCCCACCCAAATTACAACTTCTCTCTGGAGGGTAGACTCTCCTTACCTCCTCTTTCTCCATATTTTCTATGTCTCTGGGTCAAAGGCTGCTACAGGTCAACTGAATCACCAACCCCAATGGACTCATCACATTCCAACAGTGTCAATATTTATGGGTAGGGAAAGAGCCATAAAAATTTAGAGGTTACAAAGCAGCCATACCCAACCCACAGATAGTTTTGTTTTTTCCCTGCAAAATTTTGTGGAACTTTTGAATTTGACTACCTATTCCAGTTTTACATAGGCCCCAACATTCCTATTCTTCAGCTCTTCTTTATTCTCACATTTATTGTGTCTGGTTGGACTCTAGTGACTCTTGGAATATATATGTACAGGATTTCTCTAATAGAAAAATGGTGTGTTTCCTGAAAAGCTTTCTTCTTAGGCATTTCTATTACATTAATAAAAACCTCTAATACAGTTATCAAGAGTATAAATATCTAGACTTAAGTGAAGAAGGCTTTCTTAACCAGAGCATGATGATTAGTTTAACATGTCATTGTGGTCAGACTATACGCCAAGTTATTTAATCAAACACTAATCTAAGGGTTCTGTGAAAGTATTGGTAGATACAGTTAACATCTTCGATCAGTTGACTTTAAGTAAAGGAGATTACATCAATTATATGTATATGGGAGGACCTCATCCAATTAATTGAAAGGCCTTAAGAGCAAAACCTAGGATTCACTGAGGAAGAAGAAATTCTGCCTCAAAACTGCAAGCATCAACTTCTACATGAGAGTTTCTAGTCTGTGGGACTGCCCCTCTGGATTTTGGTCTTGACAGTCTCCACAATTACATAAGCCAATTCATGAAAAATACACACACACACACACACACACACACACAACCTATACACACACACTGGCCTACTTTTCTTGAGAACCCTGACTGATATATCAGTATTCCACAACATTAGCCAATGGCCATGGGAGACGTTGCCAAATGTTTTAGAGTAATGCTGGCTGCTGTAACAGAAGTACCATGAAACTCTACAGCTTAACCCAGTAGAAGACTGTTTCTCACTCACGTAATGAAAATCCAGTAGGTGGGACTGGGGGAAAGAAACTCAACTGAGGCTTGGCAACTGCACCTGACCTTCAAAGTCACCTGGACATCAACATCCAGCCAGCAGACAGGGGAAGAAAGAGAACAGAGGATCCCATGAAAGGTTTTATGGGGGCAGGATCACTTCTATCCAGATTTCGTTAGCCAAGACTCAGCCACGTGGCCACACACAACTGAAAGGAATTATGGGCTAGCTGTTTCCCAGAAAAAGCTGAAAATGTGCTTGAAATACAGCCATTTTCTGTCACAGCAAATCCATGTTAAAAGAAGCTTCCTGAAAAACAGTGTTTCCTTTTTCAGGCCACCCTGTTTGTTAAAAGTTTTGTGAGTAACTTAGTAGCTATTGTTATCTCTACACCAGCATGAATATAAAAACAGAAAAAAATCAGAATGAGATGGCAAATAAAGCAAAGTCTGAGGTAGGAGACAATTTAAAACAGCAATTAGAGTCTAATTAAATTCAAAGTTTGATATCATTATCAGAAGTTAGGACACAGCTAATTACGCTGAAAGCAAGCTTCAGTTCAGGTTATGGTCATTCAATAAGGGAATCTTTTCTTCCAAGCAGAAAACACTAATTTTGAAAACCACTTAAAAGATTCTCAATAATGGATGGTATGTATGTGTGTGCATTTTAATCTCTTTATCCATATTGTCCATGTGGTATTTACTCTTTGTACTTAAATCAACAGTAATTGTTTGTGGTAGCATGAGAAATTTTTGCTTCATTGATTTTCCATGGCACTGAAATCTCACATTAGCTCAAGGTGAAAAGCTAATAGGTTGTGAATAATGAAAATAATAACCAGAATAATAATAGAAAGAATCATACACCTGAACGTACATTAAAATCCTCTATTGCATCTCAGGGCTCTGGTGGCATTTCAAATCTCAAGAGAAAAGAGAGGAAATGGCTTGTTAGCATCATTCTCTTTAGAATACTACCCCAATCTTGTCTGCACATTTTGACATGGATGGCAATTTGCAGAATGAATGACTCCGCAAAAAGGACATAGGTCTCACCAGCTGTGTGTTCCCCACTCAGTTTTACTCAGTTTCCAGGTACAGTTCATTAGTGCTCAGTCTCCCACATTCCTGCACATACCTACACTTATAAATACAGAAAAGTCTCAAAATAGGCATTTGGAATTTGTGACATACACAGGGTCATTGAGTAAATGCACTCAAGTTAGAAAGAGTTTGGAATCCCAGGGAGACCAGTTATCATTCAGACACATCTGAACATTCACTGAGCCTCAGAAAAGCTTTCCCAAGGACATTGGCTTATGCTACTGCAGTTAAAAATCTTATTTTAAAAAGGAAGAATCTCAGATCTGCTGTGCCCACATTAAGCAACTAATATCTGATTCACTTTTTAGGCATCCTAATGCCCTGCTGATAATCGCAGATTCATTATTATTAGCAAAGGCATCTTTTTTTTTAATATTAGAAAGTTGCTTCTGAACCCAACCCCTCACAGATTCTGTTTAATTCTGTTGTGATACCCTCCCATGAAACCCAAAACTATTTTATAGCACTTTGCCACTTAGGATTATTTAATGAATTCATTAGAATTGTTTGATGTTTTTCTTCCCCTCTAGATACTAGGGCAGGAAGCTACCTTTTAACATCCATCTTCGTGTCCCCAGGACCCAGAAGGTGGCTAAAGACAGATTGGCACTCAATCAGTGCATGTTCCAGGACTGAACTAAGAGTATCTCATTCCTCCCTATGTAAGGATTTACAGTGGTTCTGCTTTCCAGGATGAATTGTACCCTGATATTTCATTCTAGAATCTCTTCAACTGCTTACCTCCAATCCATCTTTCCCTGGGATCCAACTAATTGATTTGTATAACTCTTCACTGTATTTTTACTTGTTCAGGTCAAGTCAGTCTTCTAAACTCTTCACTTACATCGTTCATTATTACCTGCAAGTCCTCATTCATGCCATTGTGCTTAATATTAGATTTATTAGGAACCAATGGGGATGCTTTCAGCTTTTCCAACTGCTTTTGCTGATTTCAGCTGTCCCTAACGTTTTCTGGGCTTTGTGTGAAAATGTAATGAAGTGTTCCTAAATCATTTTTTAAGAGAAAAGAAGTATAACCTGTCAGAGATAAACTATTAAATCAGTCCAAGATACATCATAACAATGATATACAATGACCGTAAGTAAAAAAAAAATTCTCACACCAAGTCAAGACTTTATGCCAAATCAAACTAAAGAGGTTGAGCATATACTATCAGGTTTGGAGGGAAAATAGCCATGTTTTTAAATTACCCACTCAAACTCTGATCAAAAGGAAAGGTTTTATAATTAATTAACTGATATTTTGTTTCTCAAAAATGTATATCACAGAAAACAATTATAACATTAAATTTTATAGTCTTATAACTAATTTTTATTATAAATTTATACTCATTAAGCTAACCTATGATTATTTTCCAACAAAGAGTTGAAAGCAAGTTTTATTTATCAAAAAAATTAACACATTGTTTTCATTTTGGTCTTTAGTCTCTTGTGAGCTTTTTCAGCACGAATCAATCTCCCTAAATCCACTGATATCAGCCACACTGACAAGTTCAAATTCCTGAATCTACAAAGCTGAGGGACCTTGATAAGACTTCTACTTCTAAAGTAGTATTAGACTATCAAATTTCTTGAAGGTCAGTCAGGCAAGCTTCCCTGCAAATACCCCAACATCTCAATCTTTACATTTTCCTTCTATTAGAATTGTGTAAAATGCATCACCAGCCAGGTGTGGTGGCTCACACCTGTAATCTCAGCACTTTGAAAGGCCTAGGCGGGCAGATTACCTGAGGTCAAGAATTCGAGACCAGCCTGGCCAATGTGGTGAAACCACATCTCTACTAAAAATTAAAAATTAGCCACTTGTGGTGGCATGCGCCTGTAGTCCCAGCTGCTCAGGAGGCTGAGGCAGGAGAATCACTTGAACCCAGGCTGCAGAGGTTGCAGTGAGCCGAAATCACACCAGTGCACTCCAGCCTGGGCGACAGAGTGAGATTCTGTCTCAAAAAAAAAAAAAAAAAAAAAAGGCATCACTCGCATGGAGTTTTTTGTGAATGACCCTAACCCATAGGCACACCACCTTTTTTGTGGAGCATCAGTGTTTTAGGCTAGAGCACTGCTGATACACACCAGCAAAAACATTCATGATGGTGATGTGCTGCCATGTAAAATGATTTTTAGGGCTGTGTAGCACCAACACAGTATACTAATTAACTGTCAAATCTAATTATCTTCTATTACCATGCATTATAATCACTATGATTTATAATCTCTCCAGATAGTAGCAAAATGGAACTCCTATCAGGAGTTCACAAATCAGAGATTATTCTGAAATCTTGAAATCATCTCTGTTATATAATGAAGTCTTTAGCAGTTAAGGCAGATGCAGACCATAGGCATAGCTCTATAAAGACTACAGAACTCTAGCTAAATATTTGGTAGTGGCACTCGGTAGAAAAGCAGATGAAACAGGCAAGCTAAGATGTGATGTCAGAAAGCAATTACATACGCTAATTACCAAATAATGTATGCAAATACCCAAATGTATGAAAGTGTAATGATTATCCATCACATACTGAAAATCACTTCCTTTCTACAGAATTCTCTTCTCCCCAGGGTATTCTGATCAGCTATCTGGGGCCCACACCTACCATTTACCAACTAAAATACTATCTCATATGGGCCTTCAAAGTTTTAGCCAGCCAAGGGAAAAAATGACACGTCTTTTGAATGCTATGTTTTCCAGTGCAACAAACAAACAGGTGGGTTTCATGTGTCATCCTTTCTCTCATCAAAGTTTGTAACTTTTTTTGTTTGTTTTTGTTTTGAGATGAAGTCTCACTCTGTTGCCCAGGCTAGAATACAGTGGTGTACATGCATTTCCTTTTCCGTAAGAAGAAGTAATTCTACCCATCTGAAATGTGGTTATGGAGATTATATAAGGTGCTGCATATAAACTCTAAAGCCTTTTGTAAATGGATGGTGCTACCAATAGCTAATTTGTCTTCATCTCTCCTTGAAAAATATGTACATGTTAAAGAAAGACTTCAGGAGTCCTCAAAGGCACCCAGTATAGGTAGGAAAGCTGGCTTCAGCAAGGTCAGAGATGTAGGCAATCAGGTAATACAGGAGTTGTTTCTTGTTGAATGGATTGAAATGGAAAGAGATCAAACAGCTTATTGTTTTTGTTTGTTTTGTTTTTTAAACTGCCGTGAAGAACTATTCTTTTCTCTTTAACTTATAAGTTCAGGGGTGCAGGATGTGCAGGTTTGTTACATAGGCAAACTTGTATAATGGGGGTTTGTTGTACAAATTATTTAGTCACTGTATTAGTCCTTTCTCACACCGCTAATAAAGACATACCTGAGAATGGGTAATTAATAAAGGAGAGAGGTTTGATTGACTCACAGTACAGCATGGCTGGGGAGGCCTCAGGAAACTTACAGTCATGGCAGAAGGGGAAGCAAACATGTCCTTCTTCACACGGTGGCACCAAGGAGAAGAATGAGGGCCCAGCGAAGGAGGAAGCCCCTTATAAAACCATCAGATCTTGTGAAAACCAACTTATTATCACAAGAACGGGATGGGGGAAACCGCCCCCATGATTCAGTTAACTCTACCTGGTCCCTCCCACGACATGTGGGGATTATGAGAACTACAATTCAAGATGAGATTTGGGTGGGGGCACAGCCAAACCATGTCAGTTACCCAGATATTAAGTACAGTACCGATTATTTTTCCTGATCCTCTTCCTCTTCCTACCCTCCCCCGCCCGATAGGCTCCAGTGTGTGTTGTTCCCCTCTGTGTGTCCCTGTGTTCTCATCGTTTAGCTCCACTTATAAGTGAGAACATGTAATATTTGGTTTTATCTTCCTGTCTTCGTTTACTAAGGACAATGGCTTCTGGCTCCATCCATGTTCCTGCAAAGGACATGATCCCATTCTTTCTTATTGCTGTGTAATATTCCATGATGTATATGCACCATATTTTTTTATCCAGTCTATCATTGATGGGCATTTAGGTTGATTCCATGTTTCTGCTATTGTAAATAATGCCACAATAAACATACGTGTGCATGTGTCTTTATAATAGAACGATTTATATTTCTTTGGGTATATAACCAGCAGTGAGATTGCTGGGTAGAATGGTCTTTAGGTCTTTGAGGAATTGCCACATTGTCTTCCACAAAGGTTGAACTAATTTTCATATTCTTTTCTTATCCACCAAATAGTCTTTAAAATGTGCTTCTACCTTTTATCTACTATTAATGAACTTTTTTTTCTCCTCTTCCTTTGGCTTTTTAAGTCTTCCTCACCAGCTCACAGTCAAAGTGGCTAGAAGCAGATTAGCTAAAGCAGAAAAAAAGTCTCCTATAGAAATCTGTAAGACATCTCCCAACTTGAGATAACTTGACAGTGACAGAGAATTGATTATTTTTATTATTATTGGCATTATTATTTGATAGCAATATGATTATTTTACTACTTAAAATGGCAAGAATGTACATTTTTTTCATCTTTCTCACAAACTTGTGAAAGTAAACAGGACAGGTTTACAACGTAAAGGAAATCAATATCTGTTGGCAGAAATTTAGGTTTAGTGACACGGAATAGAACAGTCAACTCTGGGATGCAATGTCCATGAAAGATTTCATTTACTTATTCATAATAGCCTTCTACTTTTTTACTTACACTTTCTGCAAATTATCTGGGTAAAGAGTGAGGAAGTGTGTGATTGTGTGTGTGTGATTGTGTCTGACCTAGTGTGATTTGTGACTATGCAATTATATGGTTTTGTGTGTGTATAAGGGAGGTGGCAAATGGAACGAATGATCTTGAACCCTTTTCGCTCTCTGTGTGTGTGAGACAATGTCTGCTTTTGAAAGTAACTATCCAGACTAGTTGACAAGCTTGTTATCTGTGGCTCTTTTTTTTTTTCCTCTCTCTTTCTAGCATTAGCTGGCTTCTGATCTCCTCTAAGCTGCTGGCATAGAAATACTAGAATCTTGTGGGACACGTGTTTGGATTATTTTTAAATGAACTTTATTTATTTATTTATTTTCTGAGACAGAGTCTTTGTCGCCCAGGCTGGAGTGCAGTGGTGCGATCTCAGCTCACTGCAACCTCCATCTCATGGGTTCAAGCAATTCTCATGCCTCAGCTTCCCAAATAGCTGGGACTACAAGTATGCGCCACTACACCTGGCTAATTTTTTGTATTTTTAGTAGAGATGGGGTTTCACCATACATATTTGGATTATTGAGAGGTTCATGGAAGCTTCTTTTTGAATAGTTCTCCAGCATGGGTGATACTGTGAATAAATGATTCATCTGTCCCTTCACTCCTCAGGGAATAATCCACCCCATTTTCTGCCTAACTTGCCTTGCTTTGGAATAGCTGCTCATTTAGGGAACTCTCAATGTACTTTTAGCACACTGTCTTCTACAGTGTCCTTTCTACCAGGGAAAACATCTATGTCCTTGCCAAGAAGTGAAAGTGCAGGCTGCCCACATTCCTTTAGTATCATTTCTCTCTCTCTCTCTCTCTCTCTCTGTCACAAACACACACACACACACACACACACACACACACACTTTTTCTCTCTCAGGCCCTCATCTTCTCTACTCACTGGTGATACAAAGACTGTCTACCAATGTACTGGTCCAGAAACTTTTGGACAAGGTATGAATCTCCTCCAGAGCTGGGGCAGAGGTCAGATCCAACACTTTTACTCTTTCACTGACAAAGAGATGGATGCTTCAAAACTACTGCTCTCCATAGAAATAAAATAAACTTCTTTCTTTGGCTTGCTATTTTGTTGTTGTTGGTGGTGTTGTTGTTGATATTATGAACTGAATGATTGTGTGTCCCCTAAATTCATGTTAAAATTCTAACCCCTAATGTGATGGTATTGGGAGGTGGCACCTTTGAGACATGATTAGTTCATGAGGGTGGAGCCCTCCTAAATGATTAGTGACCTTAGAAGAAGAAGCATGAGACCTTGTTCTCTCTCTCTCAATCTCTGCTCTCTAGCATGTGAGGACCCAGGGAGAGGATGGCCATACAAACCAGGAAGAATGCCCTGACTAGCTACCAGACTTGCTGGCACCTTGGACTCACTACACACGCCCATACTAAGAGATGGATGCTTCAAAAATGCTATCTTCTCTAAAAAAAAAAAAAGAGAACTGCTTCTGGAATGGTGAGAAATTTTTATTGTTTAAACTCCCTATCTAGTTTAAACTACCTATTGTTTAAACTACCTAGTCTATGGTATTTGTTATAGCAGCCCAAACTGAGTAAGACTGTTGGCAGTAATTGCCAATCTAATTTGACTGCATTAGAATACATGGACAGAGAAACACCTTGTATCAGGCTCTTTTCCACAGAAAATTTCTTCTTTTCTAATTCCCTTCTGTTTAGACAATGGATAGGACCAGCTAATCCTCCACATTGCTGGAAAAGTTTTCCATCATCCCTCTGCCTCTGATAAATATCATAACAATATATCTGTCTATCCATATACCTTAGTCTATCCATCCGTTCATCTAATCATCTATCTTCTTGTCAAATGTTTCACTTTTCTAGGTATAATATTGGAATATAGGACTTGCGGCCTCAGGCTTTGAAAGCTTACAGTATTATCTTCTTATCCAACTGCATCCAGGCCCAGTAACTTCAGAGGAGTTGAAAGCCCTGCTTGTAAGTCAAAGTTAAGGGTTTAAAGACAATGGTAACTGCCTGATTTCAGATTTTCCCCATATCTTCCCCACAAAATTCATAACATGAATGAAAAGAATATACTTTTACCATTACCAAAATATTTTTTTAAAAACAGCACCACCTTTAAGTTAACTGTAAGTAGATTAAAAAATCTTAATAGAGCTTCTGCCTATTGCTGCAAACCTGGAGAATGGGGTAGAGAAGGGTTAAGGGAATGTATGAAGAAAGGAGGTGTGCAGAAGACATAGAAAAAATGACGAAAAATCAAGTAATAAAGTGAAAGTCTAATATGAGGTTGTAATAGGAATTTTTTTAACAGTAGAATGAATTAAGGATCTTACAGAAACAAGGAAGAAATAAGACATAGCACCTGCCCTCCGCCCTGCCCTGCACCTGTTCCACCAACCCCATCCATGAAAGAAACTGCACAAAAAACAGCACAAGTGAATAGAGGGGATTCTTGAACGAAAAACTTGTTCAAAAATGAATAGGAATAGCAGAAAATCTGACCATATACAGAAATAAAAACAGAACATATGAATAAGAGTGTATTAGCTGGTGAAATATCTTCCTCCCTCCACTCCCCCAAAACAATCTTGAATCTCAAAAATCTACAGCACTATGCTCAAAAATAAATTAAAAATCCTCAAACCAGCATTTGGGAATGTGAAGACAAACTTTCAGTCAGAAATACACTGACAACACCAAATGCTGGCAAGAATGTGGAGCAACAAAAAGTCTCACTCATTGCTATTTGGAATGCAAAATAGTACGGCCACTTTGAAAGACAGTTTGGCAGTTTCCTCCAAAGCTAAACATAGTCTTACCATACGAGTCAGCAGCTGCATGCCTAGGTATTTACCTAAATAAATTGAAAACTTATGTCCACACAAAAACCTGAACAAGAATGTTTATAGAAGTTTTATTTATAATTGTCAAAAATGGGAAGTAATCAATATGCCCTTCAATCTCACTTGTAGGTATTTACCCAACTAATTTAAAAACTTATGTCCTCACAGAAACCTGCATGTGGATGTTTATAGCAACTTTATTCAAAATTGCCAAAACTGGAAGCAACCAAGATGTCCTTCTAAAGGATAATTAACAAACTGTGGTATATCCATGCAATATAATATGATTCATTGATTTTAAAAATGAACTATCAAGCTACAAAGACATTGATAAACATTCACATTTCTTAAAGAAAGAAGCTAGTGTGAAAATGCTATATATCTTATAATTCCAATATAATTTATGACATTCTGAATAAGACAAAACTATGAAGAAAGTAAGATTAGTAACTTTCAGGGATCTGAGGAAAGGAAGAAAGGAATATTTAGTAAATCAAACAGAGGGGACATTTATTGACAAATAAACTATTCTATATGATACTGCAATGCTAGATACATGACATTATGCATTTGTCAAAACCCATAGAATTTTATGGCACAAAGATTAAACTTTAATGTATGTAAATTAAGTGAAAATCATTTAGGAGAACCAGAGATCACAGGATGAAATGCAGCGTGTGGCAAAAGAATCTAATGATATTACAAATATATGAAACAAACTTGTTGAGGGGGTAGATGGAGAAAGTGCCAACCAAACTAACTTTGGAAACAAGTGGAGCTTGTAATACTAAAGATTAAAAAAAATGCACATAAGCACTGTTTCCAAGTGGAAAAGTTGCCTCCCATGAGAATACGCTAGCAGTATTGACACTACTGTGCATGTATACTGAAATTGAACAATTAAGTAAATAGATGGTGAATTAAAAAATTCAGGTTTCTTATTGTTGAATGAAAGCTTATACACAAGGAGAGCAAGCTAGAATGATTCATGTGGCCATGGATTAGAGCAGTAAACTTCAGTAGGAACTCATGTTTAGCTTAAATATGGTGAATAATGAAGATTGAATATGAAAATATTTTTTAGATATGTGTATATTCAAATATATTTCCTTTCACTGTCAGCTGAAGTGGCCTTGATTCAGTGATACTGAATCACAACAACATACCTAGCAATTAGATCATGTTTTCTAATACCATTCTCCAATTAAAGGAACCAGAGCTCCCTGGGAAACTCATTTATTTATTCAAGGAATAGGACACAAAATACATAGGATGAACCTGGGGTATCTTGTAGTTTTAATACGTATTAATAAATGCTAAAAATAAAAACAAAAACCTCATCTATGTATTTAATTTTTAATTGACAAAAATTACATAAATATTTATGGTATACAACAAAATGTTTTGATATATGTTTACATTGCAGAATGGCTAAATCAAGCTAATTAACATACACGTTACTAACATATGGTTGTGTGTGTGTGGTGAGAACACTTAAAATCTATTCTCTGAGCAATTTTCAAGTACACAATATATTGTTATAAACTGTAGTCATCATGATGTACAATAGATCTCTTGAAATTATTCCTGCGTAACTGAAATTTTGTGTTCTTTGACCAAATCTCCCACATACTTTCACCACCGCCACCACCACTCTGATAACCACCATTTTGCTCTGTTTCTTTGATTTGACTTTTTTAGACTCCACATATATATGAGATCGATGAAGCTTTTGTCTTTCTGTGCTTAGCTTATTTCACTCAATGTAATGTCCTCCAGGTTCATCCATGTTATTGCAAATGATGAGACTTCCTTGACTTTTTGAGACTGAATAATATTTCATTGTGTATATATAACACACTTTCTTTACCCATTCATCTGACAATGGACACTTAAATTGATTCCATATCTTGACTACTGTGAATAATGTTGCAATGAACATAGGAAGGCAGGTATCTCTTTGATATATTGATTTTATATCATTTGGATATATACCTGGGTATATATATAGTAGGATTGCTGGATCATATAATAGTTCTATTTTTAATTTTTTTAAACCTGCATAATGTTCCCCATATGGCTGTACTAAGTTACATTCCCACCAACAGTATACCAGTGTTCCCTTTTCTCTAAGTCTTCACCAACACTTCTTATCCTTTGTCTTTTTGATAACATTCATTCTAAGAAATGTGAGGCAATATCTCAATGTGGCTTTAATTTGCATTTCCCTGGTGATTAATGATGTTGAGCATTTTTTGGTATATCTGTTGGCCATTTGTATGTCTTCTTTTGTGAAATGTCTATCCAGGTCCTTTGCCCATTTTTTAAATCAAGCTGTGTTTTCTTACTACTGAGTTGTTTGAGTTCCACGTATATAATAGGTATTAACATCTCATCAAATATATGGTTTGCAAACATTTTCTTCCACTCCGTAAGGTGCTTCTTTACTCTGTCGATTGTTTCCTTTATTGAGCAGAAGTGTTTTGTTTGATGTAATCCCATTTGCCTAATTTTAATTTTGTTGCCAGTGCTTATGGGGTCATACCTAAGAAATCATTGCCCAGAACAATGAACATATTTCTCTATGTTTTCTTTCTAGTATTTTTACAATTCTAGGACTTATATTTAAGTTTTTGCTCCATTTTGAGTTTTTTTGTATATGGTGTGAGACGAAGTTCTAATTTCATTTTTCTATATGTGAATCTCAAGTTTTCCCAGGACCATTTATTGAAAATTTCCCTTTCCTGAAAGTGTGTCATTGGAATCTTTGTCAAAAATCAATTGATTGTAAATGTGTAGATTTATTTTTGGGCTCTCTATTCTCTTTAGTTGAGCGATGTGCCTTTTATGCTAGAATGATACTATTTTCATTAATTTCACTTTGAAGTAGGTTTGCATATCAGGCAGTGTGATGTCTCCAGCTTTGTTCATTTTGCTCAAGATTGCTTTTGCTGTACAAGGTGATATGGTTTGGCTGCGTCTCTACCCAAATCTCATCTTGAATTGTAACTCTCACAATTTCCATGTGTCATGGGAGGAACCCAGTGGAGAGTGATTGAATTATGGGGGCAGGTCTTTCCTGGGCTGTTCTCCTGGTAGTGAATGAGTCTCACGAGATCTGATGATTTTTAAAAAGGGAGTATTTCTGCACAAGCTCTCTCTTTGCCTGCTGCCATCCATGTAAGACATGACTTGCCCCTCCTTGCCTTTCACCTTCTGTTGTGATTGTGAGGCATCCCCAGCCACATGAAACTGTAAGTCCAATAAACCTCTTTCTTTTGTAAATTGCCCAGTCTGGGGTATGTCTTTATCAGCAGCATGAGAACAGACTAATACAGTAAATTGGTACCAGTAGACTGGGACATTTCTAAAAAGATACCCAAAAATGTGAAAGCGACTTTGGAACTGGGTAACAGGCAGAGGTTGAAACAGTTTGAAGGGCTCAGAAGACGACAGGGAAATGTGGAAAACTTTGGAACTTTTTTGAGACTTGTTAAATGGCTTTAACAAAAATGCTGATAGTGGCCAGGTGCAGTGGCTCACACCTGTAATCCCAGCACTTTGGGAGGCCAAGGTCGGTGGATCACCTGAGGTCAGGAGTTCAAGACCAGCCTGGTCAAGATGGTAAAACTCCATCTCTACTAAAAAAAAAAAAAAAAATTGGCCTGGCATGGTAGCAGGTGCCTGTAATCCCAGCTACTTGGGAGGCTGAGGCAGGAGAATTGCTTGAACTTAGGAGGTGGAGGTTGCAATGAGTGGAGATCATGCCATTGGACTCCAGCCTGGGCAACAAGACTGAAACTCCATCTCAAAAAAAAAAAAGAAATGCTGATAGTGATATGAACAATAAGGTCCAGGCTGAGGTAGTCTCAGATGGAGATGAGGAACTTGTTGGGAACTGGAGCAAAGGTGACTCGTGTTATGTTTTAGCAAAGAGACTGGCAGCATTTTGCCCTGCCCTAGAGTTTTATGGAAATTTGAACTTGAGAGAGATGATTTAGGGTATCTGATGGGAGAAATTTCTAAGCAGCAAAGCATTCAATAGGTGACTTGGGTGCTATTAAAGGTATTCAGTTTTATAAGGGAAGCAGAGCATAAAAGTTCAGAAAATTTGCAGCATGACAATGCGATAGAAAAGAAAATCTTGTTTTCTGAGGAGAAATTCAAGCTGGCTGCAGAAATTTGCATAAGTAATGAGGAGGTGAATGTTAATCCCCAAGACAATGGGGAAAATATCTCCAGGGCATGTCACAAGTCCTCACAGGAGCCCTTCCCATCAAAGGCCAGAAGGCCTAGGAGGAAAATATGGTTTCTTGGGTTGGGCCCAGGGTCCTTGTGCTGTGTGCAGCCTGGGAACTTGGTGCCTTGTGTCCCAGCCACTCCAGCCATGACTAAAAGAGACCAAGGTACAGCTTGGGCTGTGGTTCCAGAGGGTGGAAGCCTCAAGAGACATGGAGTTGAAGGAGATCATTTCAGAACTTTAAGATTTGACTGCCCCACTGGATTTTAGACTTTCATGGGGCCTGTAGCCCCTTTGTTTTGGCCAACTTCTCCCATTTGGAACAGCCATTTTTAACCAATGACTGTATCCTCATTGTATCTAGGAAGTAACTAACTTGTTTTTGAATTTACAGGCTCATAGGCAGAAGGGACTTGCCTTGTCTCAAATGAGACATTGGACTGTGGACTTTTGAGTTAATGCTGAAATGAGTTAAGACTTTGGGGGACTGTTGGGAAGGCATGATTTGTTTTGAAATGTGAGGACATGAGATTTGGGGGGGCCCAGGAGTGCAGTGTTATGGTTTGGCTGTGCCCCTACCCAAATCTCATCTTGCATTGTAACTCCCACAATTCCCATATGTTGTGGGAGGAACCTGGTGGGAGCTGATTGAGTTATGGGGGTGGGTCTTTCTTGGGCTGTTCTCCTAATAGTGAATGAGTCTCATGAGATGTGATGATTTTAAAAATGGGAGTTTTTCTGCACAAACTCTCTCTTTGCCTGCTGCCATCCATGTAAGACATGACTTGCTCCTCCTTGGCTTTCACTTTCTGCCATGATTGTGAGGCCTCCCCAGCCACATGAAACTGTAAGTCCAATAAACCTCTTTCTTTTGTAAATTGCCCAGTCTGGGGTATGTCTTTATCAGCAAAGGGAAAATGGACTAATACATAATGTATTTTGCAGCTCCATACAAATAATAGAATTTTTTTTTCCATTAACAATTGTTTTCTCTACTGTTTTCAATTTAATTTTTAATTTTATTTTCAATTTTATTGAATCTGTAAATCTCTTTGTGCAGTATGAATATTTTAGAAATTAAACTCCTTGGTTAAATTTTTTCCTATTTTATATTTTGTAGCTATTATAAGTGGAATGGCTTTCTTGATTTTTTTTCAGATAGTTCATTGTTACTGTGTGGAAATGTTCCTGATTTTTAAATGTTGATTTTGTACTCTGCAGTTTTCCTGAATTTGTTTATTATTCTATTTTTTTTTTAGGTTGAGTCTTTAGGTTTTCTGTATAGATTATGTTGTCTGCAAACAGACAATTTAACTTCTTCCTTTCCAGTGTTAATGCCTTTTACATCTTTATCTTACCTATTTGTTCTGCCTAGGACTTCCAGTACTATGTTGAATAGAAGCAGCAAAAATTGGCATCCTTTTCTTCTTCTTGATCTTAGAGGAAAAGCATTTAACTTTTTGCTGGAGTATGATGTCAGCTCTGGCCTTGTCATATGTGAACTTTATTATGTTGCAATACATTTAATCTATACATAATTTACCAATAATTTTTAAATAAAAGGATATTGAATGCCTTTTCTGCATCTATTGAGAAGTTCATTCTGTTGATATGGTATATCACATTTTTGATTTATGTTAAATCACCCCTGAATCCCACCTGATCACGGTGATTGACCTTTTAATATGCTGTTGAGGTCAGTTTGCTAGTATTTTGTTGAGGATTTTTGCACTTATATTCATCAGGGATATTGACATATAATGTTCTTTTCTTATAGAGTCCTGCCTGGCTTTGGTATCAGGGTAATACTGGCTGTCTAAAATGAATTTGAAAGTATTCCCTCCTCTTCAGCGTGTTGGAAGAATTTTAAAAGAATTGGCATTATTTCTTATTAAAATATTTGGTAGAACTCAGCAGTGAAGCCATCAGGTTTTAGGCTTTTCTTTAATGAGAGAATTTTTTTATTACTAATTCAGTCTCCTTACTTATTGTTTGTCTGCTCAGATTTTCTATTTTTTCATGATTTAGTCTTGGTGGGTTGCATGTGTCTGAGAATTTATCTATTTCTTATAGGTTATTTGATTTGTTGGCACATAATTGTTCATATTAGTTTCTTACAGTCCTTTGTATTTCCATGGTATCAACTGCAATCTCTTTCATTTCTGATTTTATTTATGTCTTTTCTCCTTTTTCTCTTAGTCTATCTAAAGTTTGATTTCTTATATTTTTAAAAAGCCACTCTTCCTTTTGTTGATCTTTTCTATTTTTATAGGTTCCACTTCATTTATTTATGCTCTGATTTTCATTATTTCCTTTCTTGTACTAACTTTGGACTTTTTGTTTGGGATTTTTCTCCTTTTTTAATGTAGGCATTTGTTGGTATAAACTTCCCTCTTAGAACTGCTTTTCCTACAACACATAAGTTTTAGAATGCTGCATTTCTATTTTCATTTGTCCCAAAATATGTTCTAATTTCCCTTTTAATTTCATCTTTCATTCACTTGTTGTTTAAGAGATATTGTTTAATTTCCACATACTTGAGAATTTTTATAAATTGCTGCTATTATTGATTTATAGTTTTATACCTTATGGTCAGAAAGGATACTTCATATAATTTCAGTCTTAAATTTGTTCAGATGTGTTTTGGGGCCTAAGATGTGATCTAGATTAGAGTATGTTTCATATGTGCTTGAGAACAATGTGTGTTCTGTTCTGTTGGGTGCGATATGTCAGTTACATTCTTTTGGTTTAAAGTATAGTTCCAATGCTATGCTTTCTTATTGGTTTTATTTCTAGGTGGTGTGTCCTTTGTTATAGGGTATTTAAGTTGCTACTTTTATTGTATTGCAGTCTATCTCTCTCTACAAAACTATTCGTATTTTTTTTTATATATTTAGGTGATCAGAGTTCGTTGTGTGTATACTTACAATTGCTTTATCTCCTTAATGAATCAATTCATTTATCATCATATAAAGACCTTCATTGTTTTATTATACAGTTTGAGTTAAAGTGCATTTTATTTGATATAAATATCCACTATCCCTGATCTCTTTGGTTTTCATTTTCAGCCTGGTATATCTCTTTTCATCCTTACATTATCAATCGCTGTATGTCCTTAAATGTGAAGTTAATCTCTTTTAGGCAGCATATAGTAGGGAATTTTAAAAAATTCATTCAGCCACTCTATGTCTTCTGATTGAAGAATTTAATTAATTTACATTCAAAATAATTATTGGTACATGAGGATTTACTACTACCATTTTATTAAGTTTTAAATTGTTTTACAGATCTATTTTATGTTTTTTTCTTTCTTGCTGTCTTCCTTTGTTACTAGATAATTTTCTCTCCTGAGATGCTTTAGTTCCTTACTTTTTATCTTTTATGTGCCTACTATAGGGTTTTGCCTTGTGGCCACATAAAATATAAGACATCTTACATAAAACATTTAGTTATAATAGACTACCTTAAGCTGATAATATCTTGATCACATTTTTAAAACTCCTTTTCTCTACTATGCACATTTTATGTTTTAGATGATGCAATTTACATATTTTACACTGTGTAATTTTTAACAAACTATTGTAGCTATTATTATTTTTAATAATTTTGTCTTTTATTCTTTATACTAAAGATATAAGTGATTTATATGCCACCATGACAGTATTACTTACTTTTCAAAATGTGACTGTTTACTTACTTTTACCATTGAATGTTATAGTTTTTGTTATCATGTTGCTAATTAGCATCTTTTTCTTTCAGCTTATTAAAATACTCTTAGTATTTCTTCAAAGACAGGTCTGGTAATGATAAACTCTCTGTTTTTTTTCTGGTAAAATCTTTATGTCTCCATTTCTGAAGGACAGCTATGCTGGGTATTTTGAGTACAGCTTTTGTCTTCAGCGCTTTGACTATATCATCCCACTCTCTCCTGGTCTATAAGGTTTTTGCTGAGAAATTCATTGCTAGCCTTATTGAAATTCCCTTATATGTCATTTGCTTTGTTGTTTTCAGGATGCTCTATTTTTGTTTTGTTAGTTTGATTTTAATATGTCTTATTGTAATCTTGGTTAAATTGAATCTTATTGGTGATATTTGATTTTCTTGTGCTTGGATATTGAATGGTTAGGCTTTGTGTCCCCATCTAAATCTTATCTTAAATTAAAATCCTCATAATCCCCACATGTCAAGGGAGAGACCAGGTGGAGGCAATTGGATCATGGGGGTGGTTTCCCCACTGCTATTCTCATGATAGTGAGTGAGTTCTCACAAGATCTGATGGTTTTATAAGTTTGGTAGTCCCTCCTGCTTCCATTCTTCCTGATGCCTTGTAAAGAAGGTACCTTGCTCCCCCTTCACCTTCCACCATGATTGTAAGTTTCCTGAGGCCTCCCCAGCCATGCTGAACTGTGAGTCAATTAAACCACTGTCATTAATAAATTACCCAGTCTTGGGCATTTTTTTATACAGTGTGAAAATGGACTAATATGGATATTTATATCATTCCCTAGATTTGGAAAGCTTTCTGCTATTATTTTTTAAAATACACTTTCTACCCCTTTGTGTCTCTCCTCTCCTCTTGAACTTCTATAATTTAAAAGTTAGCATTTTTGATGTTATCTGTCCCATAAATCCTATAAGCTTTATTCACTCTTTTAAATTTTTTTCTCCTCTGACTGTATATTTTCAAATAACATGTATTTGAGTTCACAGATTATTTCTTCTGCTCAATAAATTTTGCTGTTGACACTCTCTATTACATATTTCATTTAATTCATTGTATCTCTTAGCTCCAGAATTTGATTTTTTAAAATATAATTTTAATCTTGGCATTAAATTTCTAGTTTATTTATTGTTTTCCTAATTTCATTGAATTGTTCCTCTATATTTTCTTAAAGTTTCCTGAGCTTCCTTAAGCAATTATTTTGAATTTTTCCAGACAGTTTGTGTATCTCTATTTCTTTGGGCTCAGCTACTGGGAAAATATTTTGTTCTTTTGATAGTGTTACATCTCTTTGGTGTTCATGTTTCTCACTGTCTTTATTGGTGTGTTAGCATTTTGTGAAGCAGTTATCTCTTCCAGACTCTACAGACTATTTTCATTGTGGAATAACTTTACCCTGTGAGTGGTGGGAGAGTAAGAGGGCATTTGTTAGGCTGGATGCAGTAGTTCTAGCACCAACGAGGACACAGCTGTATAGTCTTTGCAGTTCTGTCAGGTAAGGTCAGTGTTCACAAATATTTCAGGGATCCTCAGCCACCAATGCTGTGGATGTTCACAGTGAGGGTGAGTGTTGAGGTCTTCAGTGACAATCCTGCTAAGCTTCTCCCAATTTCTTTTTCTTCCACTTGGAAACCTATGACCAAGGGGATTGCTCTTGGCACTGGATTGGGCTTGTAGGCTTACTTGTAGTGGCGGTATCTGATTGCCTGATGAAGAATAATGCCCCTAGAGATGCAACACAGCTGATGTCTGAAGCACAGGCATGCCTGGAGAGTCTACAGTTTTGTGGTCTGGGGTGGTAATAACACTGGTGCCTTAGAAGCAGGACCCTGTGGCTGCATTGGAAATAGTATGTGAGGCATGAATGTTAGTGAAGCAGCCAGGGAGCCAAGAATGGGAGCATGGGTGTGTGCAGAGCTATAGTGTTTCCAGAATCAAACTCATTGTTTAGCCGAGCCACCGTCTAGATCACAGACACATCCAGTGAAAGCTTGGCCTCAGGATTTGGAATGCAAACTACCTTGCAATGATGATGGCTCTGGTGTCTGGGAAGTGAATGGTCTGAGTGCAGCCATGGGGCCTAGGTTTGGATTGTAGCATTAACAGGCTGACTGTGGCTCCAGTGTTAGGGCATGTATAGGTTGGAAGAGATAGTGGCTCCTTTCTCATAGTGGCTCAATCTCAGCCACTTCTTCGGTGTAGGAAAGATGTGCAACCACATCATCCTCTTGGGAGTTCCTCAGTGTGAATGGCTGTTGGACACATCAGTGATAAAAGATGCCAGTGTCTTCTGTGGAGAGGCCACTGGGGACCACAGTGGTTCCTTCTATGTGGCTGATGCTAATAGACTCTCACTTTCTTCTTCATTCCTAGTCATTTTTGGCATCTCTTATCAATGATCATTTCTATGTTGATATTCTCCATGTTTTATTTTTCCTACACTCTTTTGCTAAAGATTCTTTAATGAGCTTGTGAGCCCTTTCTGGGCTATTTTTGTTTATGGATAGCTGTCTGTATTTGTGTTTTGTTTGTGAGAGCATAAAGGCTAGTATCTCCTATTCTGCTCTCTTCATGATGCTACTATCTGAACTGATCCCAAGCCTGTTTTGCTGGAGGTAATTTCAAGAGACACAAGAGCCAATTTAAAGAGCTACCAATGGTCACAGCTAGAAAAATTTGACCAAAAAAATAAAAAAGCAATGGATTATAACCCATAGTATAAAATAAAAATCCATGAGCCCATACTAATATAAGCAAATAATTGCATAATTAATAAATAAAAGAGACAAATTTCCTCTGCAGAAAAATACCAAATAATTTGTATACTTACTCTACCCTCAAGAATTAAGATCAAATCCTGAACTCCTTTTTTATTTCTTTTTTTCTGAGATAATGTCTCAGTCTGTCACCCAAGCTGAAATGCAATGGCATGATTTTGGCTTACTGCAACCTAGTATCCCAAGATCAAATGATCCTCCTGCCTCAGACTCTCAAGTAGGTGGGACCACAGGTATGTGCCACCACAGCTGGCTAATTTTTGTATATTTTGTAAAGACAGGTTTTTGCCATATTGCACAGGCTGGTATTGAACTCCTAGACTCAAGCAATCCATCCATCTCGGCCTCCCAAAGTGCTGCGATTACAGGCGTTAAACTACTGCACCCCGCCCTAAAACCCTGAACTTGTTAAGAATGAGAAACACATAATGAATTCCATCCAAAGACTATGGTATAGAAGGGGAAAAAGAGTAACCTCACAATGGAGGAATCTGACAAATGCTGTCTGTTTTTGAGGTAATCATCAGCTGTGACGAAACATGTTGATAATATATATTTTCTTTTTTTCATTTAAAATTTTTATTTTATTTTATTTTATTGATTGATTTTTTTAATTATTATACTTTAAGTTCTAGGGTACATGTGCACAACGTGCAGGTTTGTTACATATGTATACATCTGCCAGGTTGGTCTGCTGCACCCATTAACTCGTCATTTACATTAGGTATATCTCCTAATGCTATCCCTCCCCCTTTCCCCCACCCCACGACAGGCCCCAGAGTGTGATGTTCCCCTTCATGTGTCCAAGTGTTCTCATTGTTCAATTCCCACCTATGAGTGAGAACATGTGGTGTTTGGTTTTCTGTCCTTGCAATAGTTTGCTCAGAATGATGGTTTCCAGCTTCATCCATGTCCCTACAAAGGACATTAACTCATCCTTCTTTATGGCTGCATAGTATTCCATGGTATATATGTGCCACATTTTCTTAATCCAGTCCATCATTGATGGACATTTGGGTTGGTTCCAAGTCTTTGCTATTGTGAATAGTGCCACAATAAACATATGTGTGCATGTGTCTTTATAGTACCATGATTTATAATCCTTTGGGTATATACCCAGTAATGGGATGGCTGGGTCAAATGGTATTTCTAGCTCTAAATTCTTGAGGAATCCACAATGGTTGAACTAGTTTACAGTCCCACAAACAGTGTAAAAGTGTTCCTATTTCTCCACATCCTCTCCAGCACCTGTTGTTTCCTGACTTTTTAATGATCGCCATTCTAACTGATGTGAGATAGTATCTCATTGTGGTTTTGATTTGCATTTTTCTGAAGGCCAGTGATGATGAGCATTTTTTAATGTTATGCCATCATAAAAATGGTACTTTACCTCCCAGGTCTTCTTCCCAAAAACCCAGAATTTTCATCTGACCATGAAGAAAATACCAGGCAAATTCCAATAGAAGGTAATTCTACAAAATACATAAAAAGCACTTCTTAAAACTGTCATCATCAAAAATAAGAAAAATCTGAGAAACTCTCACCACCTAGGACACACAACAACTAAATGTAATGCGGTATCCTGGATAGTGTGCTATAACAGAAAAATGATTTCAGGAAAAACTAAGAAAATCTAACTAAAGTATAAGCGTAGTTAATAATAATATGTGTGTCAATATTGGTTTATTAATTCTAGCAAATTTACCATACTAATGTAAGATGGAAATAATGTTTAAAATTGGATGTGTAATATATCAGATCTCTGTAAAATCTTTTTCATTTTCCTGTAATTTAAAACTATTTTTTAAAAGAAGTCAAATTTAAATAATGGAAAATATTTACTGAAGATAATTGAAGCAAAACATACAAATAACCAAGGGAATGAAAATTAGGTGAAGATATAAAAAATGTTAAGTATAAGGTGGTTAGAATAAAAAGCAAGCAAAGAAAATCCAACTTATATGCAATTGCTGATATGAAGACAAAAATCATAACAATGAAACAAATAATATTTAAAACTGTAATCCAAGGAAACGTTTTTGAAAATAAAAGAAGACCCAAATTTACCCATTAAAAAAGGTTTACAACATACTGGGTAAAACTAACGCAGAATGGAAGATAGAGGTTCCAAGATGGCTGAATAGGAACAGCTCCAGTCTACAGCTCCCAGCGTGAGTGATGCAGAAGACAGGTGATTTCTGCATTTCCAATTGAGGTAACAGGTTCATCTCACTGGGGCTTGTCAGAGAGTGGGTGCAGGACAGTGGGTGCAGCCCACTGAGCGTGAGCCGAAGCAAGGTGAGGCATTGCTTCACCCAGGAAGCGCAAGGGGTCAGGGAATTCCCTTTCCTAGCCAAAGGAAGCTGTAACAGGTGGCACCTGGAAAATTGGGTCACTCCCACCCTAATACTGTGCTTTTCCAATGGTCTTAGCAAACGGCACACCAGGAGATTATATCCTGCGCCTAGCTCTGAGGGTCCCACGCCCACACAGCCTTGCTCGTTGCTAGCACAGCAGTCTGAGATAGAACTGCAAGGCAGCAGCAAGGCTGGGGGAGGGGCGCCCACCATTGCTGAGGCTTCAGTAGGTAAACAAAGCAGCCTGGAAACTCCAACTGGGTGGAGCCCACCACAGCTCACGGAGGCCTGCCTGCCTCTGTAGACTCCACCTCTGGGGGCAGGGCATAGCTGAACAAAAGGCAGCAGAAACTTCTGCAGACTTAAATGTCCCTTTGTGACAGCTTTGAAGAGAGTGGTGGTTCTCCCAGTAGAGAGTTTGAGATCTGAGAACGGACAGACTGGCTCCTCAAGTGGGTCCCTGACCCCCGAGTAGCCTAACTGGGAGGCATCTCCCAGTAGGGGCCAACTGACACCTCACATGGCTGGGTGCCCCTCTGAGACGAAGCTTCCAGAGGAACGATCGGCAGCAACATTTGCTTTTCTGCAATATTCGCTGTTCTGCAGCCTCACCTGGGGATACCCAGGCAAACAGGGTCTGGAGTGGACCTCCAGCAAACTCCACCAGACCTGCAGCTGAGGGTCCTAACTATTAGAAGGAAAACTAACAAACAGAAAGGACATCCACACCAAAATCCCGTCTATACATCACCATCATCAAAGACCAAAGGTATATAAAACCACAAAGATGGGGAGAAACCAGAGCAGAAAAGCTGAAAATTCTAAAAATCAGAGCACCTCTTCTCCTCCAAAGGAACACAGCTCCTCACCAGAAACGGAACAAAGCTGGAAGGAGAATGACTTTGATGGGTTGACAGAAGAAGGCTTCAGATGATCAAACTTCTCCGAGCTAAAGGAGGATGTTCGAAGCCATGGCAAAGAAGCTAAAAACCTTGAAAAAAGATCAGACAAATGGCTAACTAGAATAACCAGTGTAGAGAAGACCTTAAATGACCTGATGGAGCTGAAAACCATGGCACGAGAACTACGTGATGAATGCACAAGCTTCAGTAGCTGATTCGATCAAGTGGAATAAAGGGTATCAGTGATGGAATATCAAATGAATGAAATGAAGTGAGAAGTTTAGAGAAAAAAGGGTAAAAAGAAACGAACAAAGCCTCCACGAAATACGGGACTATGTGAAAAGACCAAATCTATGTCTGATTGGTGTACCTGAAACTGACGGGGAGAATGGAACCAAGCGGGAAAACACTCTTCAGGATATTATCCAGGAGAACTTTCCCAATCTAGCAAGGCAGGCCAACATTCAGATTCAGGAAATACAGAGAATGCCACAAAGATATTCCTTGAGAAGAGAAACTCCAAGACACATAATTGTCAGATTCACCAAAGTTCAAATGAAACAAAAAATGTTAAGGGCTGCCAGAGAGAAAAGTTGGGTTACCAACAAAGGGAAGCCCATCAGACTAACAGTGGCTCTCTTGGCAGAAACTCTACAAGCCAGAAGAGAATGGGGGCCAATATTCAACATTCTTAAAGAAAAGAATTTTTCAACCCAGAATTTCATATCCAGCCAAACTATGCTTCACAAGTGAAGGAGAAATAAAATCTTTTACAGACAAGCAAATGCTGAGAGACTTTGTCACCACCAGGACTGCCTTACAACAGCTCCTGAAGGAAGCAATAAACATGGAAAGGAACAACCGGTACCAGCCACTGCAAAAACATGCCAAATTGTAAAGACCACCGATGCTAGGAAGAAACTACATCAACTAATGAGCAAAATAACCAGCTAACATCATAATGACAGGATCAAATTCACACATAACAATATAAACCTTAAATGTAAATGGGCTAAATGTTCCAATTAAAAGGCACAGACTGGCAAATTGGATAATGAGTCAAGACCCATCAGTGTGCTGCAACTAGAGACCCATCTCACATGCAGAGACACACATAGGCTCAAAATAAAGGGATGGAGGAGGATCGACCAAGCAAACAGAAAACAAAAAAAAAAGCCGGGGTTGCAATCCTAGTCTCTGATAAAACAGACTTTAAACCAACAAAGATCAAGAGAGACAAAGAAGGCCATTACATAATGGTAAAGGGATCAATTCAACAAGAAGAGCTAACTATCCTAAATATATATGCGCCGAATACAGGAGCACCCAGATTCATAAAGCAAGTCCCTAGAGACCTGCAAAGAGACTTAGACTCCCACACAATAACAATGGGAAAATTTAACACCCCACTGTCAACATTAGACAGATCAACGAGACAGAAAATTAACAAGGATATCCAGGAATTGAACTCAGCTCTGCACCAAGAGGACCTAATAGACATCTACAGAACTCTCCACCCCAAATCAACAGAATATACATTCTTCTTAGCACCACAGCACACTTATTCCAAAATTGACCACATGTTGGAAGTAAAGTACTCCTCAGCAAATGTAAAAGAACAGAAATTATAACAAACTGTCTCTCAGACCATAGTGCAATCAAACTAGAAATCAGGATTAAGAAACTCCCTCAAAACCACTCAACTACATGGAAACTGAACAACCTGCTCCTGAATGACTACTGGGTACATAATGAAATGAAGGCAGAAATAAAGATGTTCTTTGAAACCAGTGAGAACAAAGACACAACATACCAGAATCTCTGGGACACATTTACAGCAGTGTGTAGAGGGCAATTTATAGCACTAAATCCCCACAAGAGAAAGCAGAAAAGATCAACATTGACACCCTAACATCACAATTAAAAGAACTAGAGAAGCAAGATCAAACACATTCAAAAGCTAGCAGAAGGCAAGAAATAACTAAGATCATAGCAGAATTGAAGGAGATAGAGACACAAAAAAACCTTCAAAAAATCAATGATTCCAGGAGCTGGTTTTTTGAATAGATCAACAAAATTGATAGACCACTAGCAAGACTAATAAAGAAGAAAAGAGAGAAGAATCAAATAGATGCAATAAAAAATGATAAAGGGGATATCACCACTGATCCCATAGAAATACAAACTACCATCAGAGAATACTATGAACACCTCTACACAAATAAACTAGAAAATCTAGAAGAAATGGATAAAGTCCTCAACACATACACCCTCCTAAGACTAAACCAGGAAGAAGCTGAATCCCTGAATCGACCGATAACAGGCTCTGAAATTGAGGCAATAATTAATAGCCTACCAACCAAAAAAAGTCCAGGACCAGATGGATTCACAGCCGAATTCTCCCAGAGGTACAAGGAAGAGCTGGTACCATTCCTTCTGAAACTATTCCAATCAATAGAAAAAGAGGGAATTCTCCCTAACTCATTTTATGAGGCCAGCATCATCCTGATACCAAAGCCTGGCAGGGACACAACCAAAAAAGAGAATTTTAGACCAATATCCCTGATGAACATTGATGCAAAAATCCTCAATAAAATACTGGCAAACCAAATCCAGCAGCACATCCAAAAGCTTATCCACCATGATCAAGTGGGCTTCATCCCTGGGATGGAAGGCTGGTTCAACATATACAAATCAATGAATGTAATCCACCATATAAACAGAACCAAAGACAAAAACCACATGATTATCTCAACAGATGCAGAAAAGGCCTTTGACAAAATTCAACAATGCTTCATGCTAAAAACCCTCAATAAATTAGGTATTGATGGGACGTATCTCTAAATAATAAGAGCTATCTATGACAAACCCACAGCCAATATCATACTGAATGGGCAAAAACTGGAAGCACTCTCTTTGAAAACTGGCACAAGACAGGGATGCCCTCTCTCACCACTCCTATTCAACATAGTATTGGAAGTTCTGGCCAGGGCAATCAGGCAGGAGAAAGAAATAAAGTGTATTCAATTAGGAAAAGAGGAAGTCAAATTGTCCCTGTTTGCAGATGACATGGTTGTATATTTAGAAAACCCCATTGTCTCAGCCCAATATCTCCTTAAGCTGATAAGCAACTTCAGCAAAGACTCAGGATACAAAATCCATGTGCAAAAATCACACAAGTGTTCCTCTACATCAATAACAGACAAACAGAGAGCCAAATCATGAGTGAACTCCCATTCACAATTGCTTCAAAGAGAATAAAATACCTAGGAATCCAACTTACAAGGGATGTGAAGGACCTCTTCAAGGACAATTACAAACTACTGCTCAACAAAATAAAAGAGGACACAAACAAATGGAAGAATATTCCATGCTCATGGAAAGGAAGAATCAATATCGTGAAAACGGCCATACTGCCCAAGATAATTTATAGATTCAATGCCATCCCCATCAAGCTACCAATGACTTTCTTCACAGAATTGCAAAAAACTACTTTAAAGTTCATATGGAACCAAAAAGAGCCCGCATTGCCAAGACAATCCTAAGCCAAAAGAACAAAGCTGGAGGCATCATGCTACCTGACTTCAAACTATACTACAAGGCTACAGTAACCAAAACAGCATAGTACTGGTACCAACCCAGAGATATAGACCAATGGAACAGAACAGAGCCCTCAGAAATAATACCACACATCTACAACCATCCAATCTTTGACAAACCTGACAAAAACAAGCAATGGGGAAAGGATTCCCTATTTAATAAATGGTGCTGGGAAAACTGACTAGCTATATGTAGAAAACTGAAACTGGATCCCTTCCTTACACCTTATACAAAAATTAATTCAAGATGGATTAAAGACATGTTAGACCTAAAACCTTAAAAACCCTTGAAGAAAACATAGGCAATACCATTCAGGACATAGGCATGGTCAAGGACTTCATGTTTAAAACACCAAAAGCAATGGCAACAAAAGCCAAAATTGAGAAATGGAATCTAATTAAACTAAAGAGCTTCTGCACAGCAAAAGAAACTACCATCAGAGTGAACAGGCAACCTAAAGAATGGGAGAAAATTTTTGCAATCTACCTATCTGACAAAGGACTAATATCCACAATCTACAAAGAACTTAAACAAATTTACAAAAAAAAATCAAACAACCCCATAAAAAAGTGGGTGAAGGATATGAACAGACACTTCTTAAAAGAAGACATTTATGTAACCAAGAGACACATGAATTAATGCTCATCATCACTGGCCATCAGAGAAATGCAAATCAAAACCACAATGAGATACCATCTCACACCAGTTAGAATGGCAATCATTAAAAAGTCAGGAAACAACAGGTGCTGGAGAGGATGTGGAGAAACAGGAACACTTTTACACTGTTTGTGGGACTGTAAACTAGTTCAACCATTGTGGAAGACAGTGTGGCGATTCCTCAAGGATCTAGAACTAGAAATACCATTTGACCCAGCCATCCCATTACTGGGTATGTACTCAAAGGATTATAAATCATGCTACTGTAAAGACACATGCACACATATGTTTATTGTAGCACTATTCACAATAGCAAAGACTAGGAACCAACCCAAATGTCCATCAATGATGGACTGGATTAAGAAAATGTGGCACATATACACCATGGAATACTATGCAGCCATAAAGAAGGATGAGTTAATGTCCTTTGTAGGGACATGGATGAAGCTGGAAACCATCATTCTGAGCAAACTATTGCAAGGACAGAAAATCAAACACCACATGTTTCACTCATAGGTGGGAATTGAACAATGAAAACACTTGGACACAGGAAGGGGAACATCACACACCAGGGCCTGTCGTGGGGTGGGGGGATGGGGGAGGGATAGCATTAGGAGATATACCTAATGTAATTGATGAGTTATTGGGTGCAGCACACCAACATGGCACATGGATACATGTGTAACAAACCTGCACGTTGTACACATGTTCCCTAGAACTTAAAGTACAATAATAATGATAAAAATGAAAGTACACCAAAAAAAATGACCCAGAATGATTAATTTTGAAACATAACCTAGTAAAACTGTTAGATTTTAAAGGTAGAAAAGAAAGTCCTCATGTAAGTAAGAAAAAAATAAATAAAATAACAAGGCAACAGAATTGTATAAATAACAGACTTTTTAGAAAAGCAACATATAAAGCAAGGCACTTTGCAATTTTAAAAAGTGCAAAGCAAGGATATTAAGCTAATCTGTGTTTCAAATAACAATACTATAGGAAACAATTTAGAAGGTGAAATTAAAGCTAAAGGGAAAATCTGCTTTCATATCTAAGATTATTGCTCATAAGTTTCTCTAAAATTTATTATTAATCTGGTTACTCAATAAATATTTTCATCCCAAGAAAGCACTGAAGTTACTGAAACTTTCTACAATTAGACTGTAAGCAAAATGCAATAATTCAGAATCTATGCTTGTATATGGAGGCAGAAAACATGCCCTTTTATATGAGGAGAGAATCATAGACATACTCTATTAGGCAAAATTGGAGCTGACATGAATTTACTAAAGTATTTCTGCTTGGAAGAAAGTATTGCAGCTTGGTTAAGCGGATGAGCTTTGGAGTAAAATCAACAGCAACAACAACAGACAAATACGCCTCAGTTTTTGTGCTTGTTCTGATGTTTATTAAATGTGTGACCTCAAAAAAGTTACTTAACAGTTCTGTACTACATTTTCCTCACCTATATAATGGGGATGACAGTTTGGATACAAAATTAAATATGATCAATTAGAGCTTTGCCAGGTTAGCTCATATGTTCTTTCAACGAGCCTCCACCTCTTTTTGAACACATCTTAATCAGATTTATCTTGTATTTGTTCTGTCCCAGCCTTGTTATCTACTGTTTTTCCAATGAGCCCTGGTTTCTTTTATTTAAAAAAAAAATGGCATTTATAAAGCAAGAACCAGGGACTAGATGCACTCTTTGGTACTGGAGTGCCATTGATTCTAGGCCCTCTCACTGGAAATAGCTAGAAAATATATGTATATATATTAAATCATACAAATATGTTCATTTATATGTCAAAACTGGAACAATCTCAGCCACAATATGCTGACTGCATTGAATCATAACATAAATTATAAAAAACTATTCAAATCCAGGCTGATTTAATAAATAAGTAAATAAATAAATGGGGTAGAAAGGACAACACTTCTTTGCAGTTCAATTCCAATTAATAAATGTAGAAGAAAAGAGGAAAATAAAAAATAACAATTAGGTAAACACCACAGTAAGGACTGTGGCAGACAAGATCCATGATGGATGATAAAATTAGTAAGCAAAGTTTGAGGAAAAACAGGGTGTGAATTGTCTCAAAGTATCTCACTTATAGTATTCATTAGTTATAAAGGAAAAGATAACTTTACGATGGTGAAACCTAGCAAAACCACCTTTACCAAATGACTGAGGTCAATATTACTTGTAACATTATGAACCCAATGATAGGATGCACTGAGAAGAAATACAGCACCATTTCTGAAGTATTTTTGGCAAAATGCATACTCTCCATCTGCCAACTCATGAGCATACATCAGACAATCCTAAACTTAGGGACTTTTGACAAAAAAAAATGTGATTGATATTCCTTGAAAGTGTCAAGGATAATAAAGAAAAAACAAGGAAAGACTAAGGAACTGTTACAGACTGCAGGAGACTAAAAAGAAATAACTACTAAAAGTAATGTGGGATTCTGGATAGGAATTTGGGAGGGAAACAGAACATGACTGCAAAAACTAGTGAAATATGAATAAACTTTCTAATTTATTTAAAATTTTTATATAAGGTTAATTTCCTGGTCCTGATAAGTGTGCTAAACTTATGTAAGATATTAACATTAAGGGAAGTGGCATGAGAGACAGATGGAAATTCCATATTTTTGTAACTTTTCTACAAAGCTGAAAGAAGTCCAAAATTAAAATGCTTAAAAATAAAAAAACAAATACTTTGATTTAAAACATTAAATATGACAGTATATATAAAGGATTAATGGGAATGCCAGACCTAATTGCACACAAAAAAGTTAGTGAGCAACATTATGATTATTTATTATTATCATTATTATTAGCATCAGTATCACTAGCACAACAAGATACTATGAGGTACTAGATAGAATTTTTCTGTTTACCCGAATTGACAATTAAGCCATAGCTGAGAACAAAAGTGATCAGGATAGACTATTGTAAGTTCAAATCTGCTAGCTCTTGGGCTGACTACTTCACCTGTCTTTACTAGAAGCAGCATTCTAATTAAACCTAGCTGTCATCTAACTTCCCTCCCCCCAGTATTGCTAAAAAAATGAAATGAAATTTTAAGATAAATAAACTATAGAGAGAGAGCTCTTGTGTGAGAGGAGGAAGTTACTGATTTTGAATAATGCAATACCCATGAAGAAATTTTACCTCTTCTCCTCACATTCCAGCTGAAGAAGGTTGGGATCATGTGACTAGTTCTCCCTCTCAAAGCCAAAGAAATCACTTGTCAAATTTGAGAGTGCTCAGAAGGAAGGATGTTATGGGTTAAATTGTGTTCCCGACAAAAGATATGTTGACATCCTAACTTCTACTATCTCAGAACTTGATCTTATTTGCAAGTAAGTCATTGCAGATGTAATTAGTTAAATTAGATGAGATCACATGGAAGTAGGGTGGGCCCTAAATTCAACATGTCCTTAAAAGGAAACAATGGTGAGTCACAGGAAAAATGCCATGTGTGATGGTTAATACTGAGCGTCAACTTGACTGGATTGAAGGATACGTAGTATTAATCCTGGGTGTGTCTGTGTGGGTGTTGCCAAAAGAGATTAACATTTGAGTCAGTGGGCTGGGGAAAGCAGATTCACCCTTAATCTGGTGGGCAAAATTTAATCAGTTTCCAGTGAATATAAAGCAGGCAGAAAAATGTGAAAGACAGAGACAGGCCTAGCCTCCCAGCCTACATTTTTCTCCCATGCTGGATGCTTCTTCCATGCTGGGCTTTGTTGGAAACTGAAGGTTGTTTGACTCTGGGTCATCAAGTCACCACGCGACCCAAACTGCCTATCATGAACTGGGTGCTTTCTGACCATCAGGCCATAAAGTGGGTCATGCACAGCTGCATTCCGTCATCAAATGGAAGTGGTATATACATGATTGGGCTTGAGCAGGTCCTGAAGACACCAGTAAGTTACATGAGGAAGTGGCTCAAATGCCCATGGTCTCCACTCCTGCCACCCTGCCTTCTCTCCCCCAGCCTGCACTGATGGCCTCATGGGGAGTTCCCTATGGTTAGCTGAGAAGACTAGGGCCTGGTTCACAGATGTTTCTGCACGATATGCAGGCACCACTCGAAAGTGGACAGCTGCAGCACTACAGCCCCTTTCTAGGACATCTCTGAAGGACAGCAGTGAAGGGAAATCTTCCCAGTGGGCAGAACTTTAAGCAGTGCACCTGGTTGTGCACTTTGCATAGGAGGAGAAATGGCCAGATGTGTGATTATATACTGATTCATGGGCTGTAGCCAATGGTTTGGCTGGATGGTCAGGGACTTGGAAGAAGCATGACTGGAAAACTGGTGACAAAGAAATTTGGGGAAGAGGTATGCAGATCAAACTCTGAGTGGTCAAAAACTGTGAAGATATTTGTATCCCATGTGAGTGCTCACCAACGGGTGACCTCAGCGGAAGAGTTTAATAATCAAGTGGATAGGATGACCGTTCTGTGGACACCACTCAGCCTCTTTCCCCAGCCACCCCTGTCATTGCCCAATGAGCCCATGAACAAAGTGGCCATGGTGGCAGAGATGGAGGTTACGCGTGGGCTCAGCAACATGGACTTCCACTCACCAAGGCTGACCTGGCTACGGCCACTGCTGAGTGCCCAATTTGCCAGCAGCAAAGACCAACACTGAACCTTCGATATGGCACCATTCCTTGGGATGATCAGCCAGATACCTGGTGGCAGGTTGGTTACATTGGCCCTCTTCCATCATGGAAACGGCAGAGGTTTGTCCTCACTGGAATAGACACTTACTCCAGATATGGGTTTGCCTGCATGGCATGTTTCTGCCAAGACAACCATTCACGGACTCACGGAATGCCTTATCCACCATCATGGTATTGCACACAGCATTGGCTCTGACCAAGGCACTCACTTTATGGCTAAAGAAGTGTGGCAGTGGGCTCACGCTCATGGAATTCACTGGTCTTACCATGTTCTCCATCATCCTGAAGCAGCTAGATTGATAGAATGGTGGAATGGCCTTTGGAAGTCACAACTACAGCACCAACTAGGTGACAGTACTTTGCAGGGCTGGGGCAAAGCTCTCCAGAAGGCTGTGTATGCTCTGAATCAGCATCCAATATATGATACTGTTTCACCCATAGCCAGGAATCATGGGTCCAGGAATCAGGGGGTGGAAGTGGCACAACTCACCATCACCCCTAGTGATCCACTAGCAAAATTTTTGCTTCCTGTTCCCATGACATTACATTCTGCTGGCCTAGAAGTCTTAGTTCCAGAGGGAGGAACACTGCCACCAGGAGAGACAATGATTTCATTAAATAGGAAGTTAAGCTTGCCACTTGGACACTTTGGGCTCCTCCTACCTTTAAGTCAACAGGCTAAGAAGGGAGTTACAGTGTTGACTGGGGTGACTGACCTGGACTATCAAGATGAAATCAGTCTACTACTCCATAACAGAGGTAGGGAAGAGTATGCATGGAATACAGGAGATCCATTAGGGTATTCCCATGTCCTGTGATTAAGGTCAATGGAAAACTACAACAGCCCAATGCAGACAGGACTACAAATGACCCAGACCCTTCAGGAATGAAGGTTTGGGTCACTCCACCAGGAAAAAACCTACAACCTGCTGAGGTACTTGCTTAAGGCAAGGGGAATACAGAATGGGTAGTAGAAGAAGGTAGTCATCAATACCAGTTACGACCACATGACCAGCTGCAGAAACGAGGACTGTAATTGTTATCAGTATTTCCTCCTTCTTTTGTTAAAAATGTTTGTGCATGTATACACTTGTACTAAGAAAATATCTTCATTTTACTTCCTTTTCCTTCATCATGTGACATAAGATTTATTGACTTCATATCAGCATTTAAGTATTGTTAACTTTATGTAATAGTATTTGGGTTGGGGATTGGTGTATTTCTGGTTGTATGAAGGATAGCTGTATTATGTTAGGTGTAATTATGACCTCATTATTATCTTTATTTGAAGATTATATATGATCTCAGGAGATGTGTATGGGCTCAAGTTGACAAGGGGCGGACTTGTGATGATTAATACTGGGTGTCAACTTGATTGGATTGAAGGATACAAAGTATTAATCCTTGGTGTGTCTGTGAGGGTGTTTCCAAAAGAGATTAACATTTGAGTCAGCGGGCTGGAGAAGGCAGATCCACCCTTAATCTGGTGGGCAACCTAATCAGCTTCTAGTGAATATAAAGCAGGCAGGAAAACACGAAAGGGAGAGATGGGCTTCACCTCCCAGCCTACATCTTTCTGCCGTGGTGGATGTTTCCTGCCCTCAAACATCGTAAGTTCTTCAGTTTTGGGGCTCAGAGTGGCTCTCCTTGCTCCTCAGCTTGCAGACAGCCTACTGTGGACCTTGTGATCATGTGAGTTAATACTTAATAAACTCCCCTTTATATATATATAAGTATCTATCTCCTATTAGTCCTGTCCCTCTAAGAGAACCCTGATTCATACACCATGTGACCATGGAAACAGAGATTGGAGTGATGCAGCTGTAGCCCAAGGAATGACAATGATTGACAGCCACAACCAAAGTCAGGAAGAGACACGGAAGGATTCTACTCAGAGTCTCGGACAGAGTGTGACTCTGCCAACACCTTGGTTTTGGACTTCTAGCCTCGAGAACTGTGAGATAAATTTCAGCTGTTTTAAGCCACCCAGTTGTGGTACTTTGCTTTGGCTACCCTAGGACACTAACAACACAAGAGGGGAGTGGCAGTTATAACCCAGGAAGATATCCAGGACTCTGCCAGTCTGATTACCTGCCCAATGCTCTGAGGGCAAGGAAAAGAGCCTCAAGGAGGAATGACATGATAAATAAACAAGTATGGAAAACAGACCCTATTAGTGCCCATAGCTACCAGTAGTGAGGCCACAGGGATAGGTGAGATGGGGAGTTCAGGCTTTTGGAGGACCATGGAGTGGGGGGCACGGAGACATACACAGTAGAGGAAGATGGCATGACACCACTAGTGGGACTTAGAGGCTGAGAAAGGATCCAATGTTAGGTGGGGCTATGTGGATATGAGCCCCCATCAGCATGAGGGTTTTTAAAACCACCACCAGTCCGCACCAAGACAACAATCAGCAAGGTAGGAAAGCAATCCCAAGCAGCCCAGAAAAAAGCCCAACTTCCCTATTTTCCTTGCTCTTTCCTCTGACGCCAACAGCCAAGATGTTACCATAGTGAAGGAGGGATGTATAAAGGAGAGCAGACCTTCATGCCTTATCGCCACTGGCTTAGCCATGTTCTGTAGGTGCAAATGGAAGAAGGAGGGGGAGCTGCTGCAGGTAGGGAAGGTGAAAAAGAGCTTTCTATCAGAGAGAAGTTCAAAGCTTTAATATTGAGAAGTTGAACCTAAGAACTAAAATCAAACGGACTTTGGGAGGCCAAGGCAGGCAGATTGCCTGAGCTCAGGAGTTCGCAACCAGCCTGGGCAACACAGTGAAACCCCATCTCTACTAAAATACAAAAAATTAGCCGGACATGGCAGCGTGCGCCTGTAGTCCCAGCTACTTGGGAGGCTGAGGCAGGAGAATTGCTTGAACCCGGGAGGCGGGGGTTGCAGTGAGTCAAGATTGTGCCACTGCACTCCAGCCTGGGTGACAGAGTGAGACTCCATCTCAAAAAAATTAAATAAAATAAAATGCTATGAAACTAGAGATAACACGAAGGGCACCTGCTCCTGTGGGAAAGGTAAATAAATTGAGTGTGTTTTGGAGTTCTTATCAGAACAAACAAAACTTCTGTGTTTATACCCCAATCAGCCATGACCTCTAACTCAACTGTAATTATAGTAATGTTATAATAGTAATAATAATATAATAATAATTATTATTAAATCACTCCACCTCATAAGCAAACTGTTTCACATCTGTATGTAAGAGAGACTGTTTCCTTTCCTATTGATATGGGACAAGGCCTATTTTGATCATAACATGAAACAAAGAATTCTTGGTAAGCAATAGATTCAATGAGACCAACTCAGGGAATTTGGCAAGGTTTATGGGTCTCTAAATGATGAATATTTTAGTCAGTGAATGGTGGGAGTGGGGAGGTCTCTAGGGAGCCTTGTGCCTTGAAATTTAATGAGTTTCTTTGGGGAGAAATTCATTAGGAAATGAGAAAGCAAATGCTCTGTCAAGAGGAAGCTGTCAAAACTATTACTTTGTATTAATCAGCAGACTTGATTTTTCATTAAGAAACAAGAGAAAATGTTTTCTCTGGCCAGGCAACTCTTTCAACAGCAGACTGATGGTTTTAATAAGCCAAAGTATTTAGAGGCCTAGTGATTGGCCTGCCTCAAGAGATTTGCAGAATATCTGAGTTAGGGAAATATAAAATATATTTTATCACTATAGAAAAAAAGTTGCTAACCTTAAGTAGCCTTGTCTTACAGTTTAGAGTTAGGTGTGTGACATTTGGAAAATATCTTTACCTCTCTGAGCTTTACTTTTTTCCTCTACAAATGAAAATAACATTTATCACATGGAGGTACTTTTTGAGTTTAAAATGACGTAGGTAAACTACTTAGCACAAAAGTGATAAACATAGCTGAGCCAGAATTTGAACCCCAGTCTGTCTCACTATAAACCTGTGTTCTTAGCCTTTACCTTCTATTGTCTCTACTTTCATGGAGAATTGTCAAGAAGATGACAGATGAATGCAAGAATAAAAGCATGAAGGTCAGTATAAATATAAATTTGAAAGCCTGCCAGGATACATACAGGATTTTATATCAGAATGAAAGGCTTTTGATAGTGATTTGAAAAAGAAAAGAAAGAGTTTCATAAGAGTGGAAGAGTTACCTCTTTTGTTCATGGCTCTATCTCTAGTTCCATAGTGCATAATGCTGGCTTATTATATGTGTTTGTTGAAAGGATGGCACATAACCAAGCACCTATCAAAGAAAAAAACACATTTGAGAGAACAGTCCTTTCAAGACTAAGCCTTTTAAAGGTGATGACCTCATTAGCTTTTAAGTTTTAGCACACACCAAAAAAACTTATACCTTAAGGAAACTCCTTTATTGTTGTCGGTGATTTTGAACTCAGCACAGTATGTGAACAGTAGGAAAAAAATCACTGTTAAAGATATTATGCCCGCATGCATTCGGTATTTGGGCTTAAAACCTAGATGATGGGTTGATAGGTCCAGCAAACTACCATGCCACATGTATATCTATGTAACAAACCTTCACCTTCAGCACACGTATCCCAGAAATTAAAATAAAATTTTAAAGAAGATATTATGGCTTGACACACAAAAGTAACCTATATGTCCAGAAAGAAATTATTTGGTTATCCTTTATTGAATAGGACCTATTAATTGTAAACACGTTATAATTACATATGTAACTATAAAATCACGCCTCTGCCATGCCTAAAGTAAAAAAATGGCTTCCCATCAATCTTAGGATAAAGGCCAAATACTTACTGTGGCCTCCAAGGCCCCACTCACTTCTCTGGATGCTCTGGTGGCATTCTTACCCCTTTCCTTGCTCCAGTTATATCAACCCTTCAGTTGCTCAATATGCCACTCTCCTTCCCACCTCAAGGACTTGGTGTGTATTGTTCCTTTCAACTAATCAGTTCCAATATAGTCTCTTTCAGGATTTGAGCACAGAGATCACTTCCTTATGGAATCATCTTCTGACACATCAGATTAATTCAGGTCACCTTCCTATAAATTCTCAATGTACCATGGACTTAAGAAGTATTCATCACAGTAATTACATATTTTTACTCCCCCTTTTTTGGCCACACTAGAATGTTAATCTTTATCATGGGGATGATATAAAAATATGTTACATTTTACTAACTCCTTTACTACACATGCAAAAAAAATTCTCTAATTTCCAACACTAACCCCTTGCTTACACTGCCCATGTGTCTCCTCTTTCTCCATCTTCTTCCTTTTCTGTATCTTGTTTACCTTTTTTTTTTTTTTTGTCTACTACCTATCAGGGAACTACTAACCCCCTGCACACACCGTCTCTCACTCTTAGGACAATGAACCATTCAAGTTAATGACTGCTTTTCCCATCTGACAGAAAAGCAAACTAAACCCTAGAAGTCCAGTCATATAATTAAAGCAGCACGGAGAGCAGGCTCTGAGATAGGGTCTGGAACACAGCGATGTGTGGCTTCAAGGCCATCATATTCTCTTTCCAGCCTCTACACACTGTATAGTGCCCACCCATCATAAAGAACACCCTCAGAGCTCTGCCATTGTATGAGTCATTCCTTTGGGGGCCTGCACTCTTACTTGCCTGTGTTATTTGGGGTGGGTGGGTGGGTCACAAGGTGGAAAGTTTCAGCAGAGTGAAGAATATGTCTTACACTTTAAAAATGTTTTCCTCATGAGCCAGAAGTAGGTGTTTGATGTATATGTTACCAAAGAATCACAGAATGTGACAAGTGGAAGAAAACCTGGTGATTTGATCTCACCCTTTGTTTCATAAATAAAAAACCTAGTCTCAGATATATTATATATCTAGTCCAAGGACACTGACTAAATGAGAGGAAAAGAACTTAAGACTTACAATGCTAAAGTTTAAATTTTCTTTTGTGTCATGTTTTGTCCCACATCTCTTGTTAGTGAATGAATGGTAAGTTAAAAGAATTTTTTTTTTAAGGGAATTAGGTCAGTTCCCAGACCATCTAACGATTTTGGAATGCCTATTGTAGTGTAGGTATTCAGTTTCTAATTCATATCAAAAAGGGTTTTAACCATGAAGGAAAAAGGAAAAACAAGTGCCATGCATTCTCATTCTCATTACTGCCACCAAATATCATGGCCTTTTGTTGCCCATTTGCTGGTCAGAGCTTCTGAGGTACTGCCCAGCATATAGTTGTGTTTACCAAGCAATATGAAAAACTGAGTTTAGTCTGTCTTGGTACAAGCCCTTTATCCCCTCTGGAATCATTCGTACTTGCTTCTAATGCAGAAACACTTCAACCAAGTAGACATATTCTATTGTTTTTCCTTCAAGAATAAGTTTTATCGTTTATAAATTTTATAAATTCTTTCTCTGGCCACCATTTCATGTAAATTTATGAGATCAAAAAATGCCTAAAATTGAAAACTAGGTCTCTGGATGGAAGCTGTTGTGGGTATCACTCAGAATTTATTCTTTATGTTGTATGTTAGTCAGTCCATAAACCAGCACTAAGATCTTGGACTTAATCCTAGCACTCCCTCTCAGGGGCCAAAGCATGGCACAAGTATAGGCACCATAGTGTACGAGGCACTGCATCTATCGTCTTCATTCCAGGGCCCTATCCTTCATATCCAGAGGTGTCACCAGTCTGAGATCATTAATATTCTAACAATAATTTCTTTCACAATTTCTTAATTTGACCGGGGAGACTGTTTCATTGAGCTATTGGAAGCAGGAGTTGAAGGAAGGTAAATGTATCCATAAAAATTAAAATGAAGTATTTAAAAAATAAAATAAATAAATCTTGATTTCTCAGTAGGAAATGCTAAAGTTACTAGAAGTTTTGGTATCCCTCAGAAAAAATAATCATTTGAATTTTATGTGTCCTTCAACCTGAAGATGAAATACACCCAGAGATATTTATAAAAATATATAAATATATATAGTAAGTTAGGTAGATTGAGATACATATATATGTTTTGTGAATACTAGAAATAACAAAATTGGGTATTTAAGTGATGCCAATGATTTGCATGATAAAAAGAGAAAGAAAATTAGAAATGAACATGGAAGAATGTTCAGTCTTGCAGATAAACATAAATTAAAACAATGAGGTTACATTTCATTGCTATTGCACAGATAAACTTTTAAAATAGATCACAAGTGCCAGTGACAGCAAGGATGTGGTAAAATTTATAAACTCAATAAATTTTTGATGTAATTACAATATGGGTCTATCATTTTGAAAAGCAATATATCAATGTATGTCAAGGGAAATAAAGATGTCTCAGTAATGCCATTCTCACCAATTGTCCTAGAGAATTTATTTATTTAGGCTTTTCCCCCTTTCAATTAAAATATTGACTGTGTTATCAGTTATACTAATATGGGAAATAATTAAAATATCCTACACTATGGTATATCCACTAATTGGAATGTTATATAGGTATTAAAACTATCTTAAAAGTGCTGGATGGAGGCGAGATGGCCAACTAGACACAGCTAGGAGGAACATCTGCCACTGAAGGACCAGGATACTGTGAAGACTGGCACACTCTGAGCAGATCTTTAGAGGGAGGGCATTGAGAGTGATGGAGGGAGGACACAGATGCTGGGCTGAAGGGGGAGGAAGCTAGGAACATTGAATGGGGCTACTGTGCACCAGAACTAGTTTCTGGCCCCCAACAAGTCCTGGGAAAGAGGTGACTTGAGGAGACAAGGAGCAACCAGCTGTCACCATGGACCTCTGGAATCCTGGCAGCAGGAGACCCCACAACCCCCATGGACACGTGAGCTGGCAAGGAGAACTGCTTATAGAGGTAGTAGGGGCAGAACTTCAGCCTGTGCACAGCCCAGAAGGTTTGGTGCCAGACATCTCTGGGGAATGGCCAGGTATGCCATCCCCCAAGGCTTGCCATGCTCCCCTAGGAGCCTTAAACCATACAGGAATTTATGAGCATGAACAGAGTAGGGTAAACTTGTCTGTGAGATGGGGCTGGGCATCCTTCTGTCTTCTGGCTTCTCCCAGGGTCCAAGCCTTGCTGTGCCTGCTTGCAGTGCAGCCTTGGATGCCCAACGGGGGTGCCTCCTAGGGGTGCTGCCACCACCAGCACTGCCAATGCCCACACAGACACCAGAAGGCCCAGCCCACGAGTGCCCTACCCAAGCCAATGAGTATACACCCCTATGTGCTGTGGCTGCTGCTGGCACATGTGAATGAGGACGGATCTTGATGATATTACTGGACAAATCACCTTGGTGGCCATCACCCTTTGGAGTGTTGTGGTCAGTGGTCTGGGAACACTTCAGCCCCTCCAATGCAGCAGGTTCCCAACTTTGAGGGGCCAGTGAACAAAGCCAGGAGCCCAATACCAACTTCCAGAGTTAAAGCATGAATCCTTGGAGTACTGAGCTGAGCCGTAACTCCCCAAAAATTTACCAGAAATGAAGTCAGTCAACTGAACCCACCTTATACCACAATCAAACCCCTAAGGACATCAAAAAAGATAAAATCAAAAACATAAAAATCCAAAGGACAGCGACTTCAAAAATCGGAGGAAGATCATCAGCCCACACAGATGAGAAAGAACCAGCACAAGAACTTTGGCAACTCAGAAAGCCCGAGTGTCTTCGTTTGATTATATTCATAGGAACAAAGATCACTGATATTCAGGAGGAAGTTGTAACCCAATTCAAGGATTCTAAGGAATGCGATAAAACAATACAGGAGATAAAAGATGAAATGGCCATTTTAAGAAAGAGCCAAACCAAACTAGTAGAACTGAAAAGCTCACTTCAAGAATTTCAGAATACAATCACAGGTATTAACAGCAGAATTGACCAAGCTGAGGATAGAATCTCAGAGCAATTACAGAAGACCAGATTACTGAAGCAACTCAGTCAGACAAAAATAAAGATAAAACAATAAATAAGAATGAACAAAACCTCCAAAAAATATGGGAGTATGTAAAGAGACAAAATCTAGATGCATTGCTATCCCTGAAAGACAGGGAGACAAAGCAAGAAACTTGAAAACATATTTCAGGATATTGTCCATCAAAATTTCTCTAACCTCTCTAGAGAGGCCAATATTCAAATTTGGGAAATGCAGATAACCCATGCAAAATACTACACAAGACAATCCTCAAGACATATCGAAGATTCTTCAAGGTCAAAATGAAAGAAAATATATTAAAGGCAGCTAGAGAAAAGTAGTAAGTCACCTACAAAGGGAACTCCATCAGGCAAACAGCAGATCTTTCAGCAGAAACCTCATAAGCCAGAGGAGAATTGGGCCTATATTAAGCCTTCTTAAAGAAAAGAATTTTCAAACAAGGATTTCATATCCAGCCAAACTAAGTTTCATAAGAGAAAGAGAAATAGGATCTTTTTTAGACAAGTAAATGCTAAGGGAATTCATTATCATCATACTTGCCTTATGAGAGGTCTTGAAGAGAGTGCTAAACATGGAAAGGAAAGAACATGACCAGCCACTACCAAAACACAAGTACATAGACCAGTGACATTATAAAGGACCACACAAAGAGGTCTGAATAATAACCAGTTAATCAAATGATGACAGGAACAAATCCACTCATATCAATACTAACGTTGAATGTAAATAGACCAAATGCCCAAATTAACAGGCACAGAGTGACAAGTTCAATAAAGAAGTAAGACCCAAATATATGCAGTCTTCAAGAGACACATCTCACATGAAATAATATGGATAGATCCAAAGTATAGGGATGGAGAAAAGTTCTTCCAAGCAAACAGAAAACAGAGAAAAAGCGGGGATTGCTATTCTAATTTCAGACGAAAGAGACTTTAAACCAACAAAGATCAACAAAAGGCAAAGAAGGGCATTACATAATGGTAAAATGCTCAATTCAACAAGACAAACTATCCTAAACTTATATGTACTCAATACAGGAGCATACAAATTCATAAAGCAAGTTCTTAGGGACCTAGAAAGAGACTTAGATTTGCACACAATAATACTGAGAGACTTCAACACCCCACTGACAATATTAGACAGATCATCAAAGCAGAAAACTAACAGATATTCAAGACCTGAAATTGACACTTGATCAAATGGACTTAATAGACTTCTATACAACACTCCACCCAAAGGCAACAGAATATACATTCTTCTCATCTTCACATGGCACATAATCTAAAATAGACTAAACAATCAGACATTAACAATCCTTAGAAAATTCAAAATAAAAAAATGAAATCATACCAACCACATTCTTATTCTGTAGTGCAATAAAAATAAAGATCAGTACTAACAAAATTGCTCAAATCCATATAATTACATGGATATTAAACAATCTGGTCCAGATTAACTTTTGGATAAATAATGAAACTAAGACAGAAATAAAGAAATTATTTGAAACTAATGAGAACAAGGATACAACATGTCAGAATCTCTGGGACACAGAAAAGTGGTGTTAAGAGGGAAGTTTATACCACTAAATGTTCACATCAAAAAGTTAGAAAGATTTCAAATTAACAACCTAATAACTTGCCTAGAATAACTAAAGAAATAATAGCACACCAACCCTGAAGCTAGCAGAAGACAAGAAATAGCCAAAATCAGAGCTGAACTGAAAAAAAAAAAAAACTGAGACATAAAATCATTCAAAAGATAACAAATCCAGCAGTTGGTTCTTTGAAAAAATTTGTAAGATAGATCACTAGCTAGACTAATTTAAAAAAAGGGGGAGAAAATGCAAATACACACAGTCAGAAAATGACAAAGGGGACTTTACCCCTGACCCCAGAGAAGTACAAAAATCACTCAGAGACTATTGTGAACATCTCTGTGCTCATAAGCTAAACAACCCAGAAGAAATGGATGAATGCCTGGACACACACAACCTCTCAAGACTGATCCAAGAAGAAATTAAATCCCTGAATAGATCAATAATGAGTTCTGAAATTGAATCAATAAGAAAAAGTCTACAAACCAGAAAAGGCCCAGGACCAGATAGATTCATAGCCAAATTCTAGCAGATATATAAAGAAGAGTTGGTACCATTCCTATTGAAACTATTTCAAAACATTGAAGGGGAAGGACTCCTCCCCAGCTCATTCTATGAGGCCAGCTTCATCCTGATACCAAAACCTGGCAGAGACACAACATCAACAACAAAACCTTTAGGTCAATATCCTTGAATATCAATGCAAAATTCCTCAACAAAAAACTGGCAAATCAAATCCAGCAGGACATCAAAAAGCTTATCCACCACGGTCAATTAGGCTTTATCCCTGGGATGCAAGGCTGGTTTAACACATGCAAATCAATAAATGTAATTCATCACAAAAACAGCACTAAAAACAAAAACCACATGACTATCTCAATAGATGCAGAAAAGGGTCTGAGTGCGGTGGCTCATGCCTATAATCTCAGCAACTTGGGAGGCTAAGGTGGGCAGATTGCTTCAGCCAAGAATTCAAGACCAGCCTGGGCAACTTCATCTCTACAAAAAAATACAAAAAATTAGCCAGGCATGGTGGCATGCATCTATAGTCCCAGCTACTTGCTACTCGGGAGAACTAGGTGGGAAGATCACTTGGGCCTAGAAGGTCAAGGCTGCAGTGAGCCACAAACACAGCACTACGCTCCAACATGGATAACAGAGAGAAGCTTTCTCAAAACAAAAAGATGCAGAAAAGGCTTTTGATAAAATAGAACATCGCTTTGTCAATGAAAAGAGTCAAACTCTAAAATATTTGAAAAGGTTTATTCTGAGCCAAATACGAATGACCATGGCCCATGACACAGCCCTCAGGAGGTCCTGAGAATATGTGCCCAAGATAGTCAAGGTGCAACTTGGTTTTATACATTTTAGGGAGGCATGAGACATCAATCAAATACATTTAAGAGAGGTTGGTTTGGTCCAGTAAGTCAGGACAGCTCAAAGTGGGGTGGCCTCCAGTCTATAGGTACATTTAAACATTTTTCTGGTTGACAATTGGTTGAGTTTGTCTAAAGACCTGGGATTGATAGAAAGGAAATGTTCAGGTTAAGATAAAAGATTGTGGAGACCGAGATTTCTTTGAAGTCTTATAGTGGCTGCCTTAGAGACAACAGATGACAAGTTTCCTATTCAGATCTTTAAAAGGTGCTAGACTTTTAGTTAATCTCTTTAGAATTGGGAAGAAAAAGATCTAGCTATGTTAATAGAGATTCTTACAGATGCAGATTTCCCCACACAAATGACTGCTTTGCAGGGACATTTCAAGATATGGCAAAGAAAGGTGTTATGGGGTAAAATATTTTGATTTTCTTCCTCCTCTCATAATGTTATGCCAGAGTCAGGTTGAAAAGTAAGTCACGATATATAGGGTTAAGTAAAACTCATCTGATGAGAATTTATGATGTGTAGGGTATGAATCCCCAGATTATGATTTGTAGGGTATGAATCCCCAGACCATTTAGATAGGAATTTAGACGAGATAAAATAATCAGAGTTTAGTTTTCAACATGTTCAAAACATTCAATAAACTAGGCAATGAAGGAACATACTTCAAAATAATAACAGCCATCTATGACAAAACCACAGCCAACATCATACCAAATGGGAAAATGTTGGAAGTGTTTGAAAACTGGAACAAGACACCCATGGTCTCTGTCACCCTTCCTATTCAACATAATGCTTGAAGTCCTTGCCAGAGCAATCAGGCAGGAGAAAGAAATAAAAGGCATACAAATAGGAAGAGAGGAAGTCAAATTATCCTTATCTGCATATAACATGATTCTGTATCTAGAAAACCCCATAGCCTTGGCCCCAAACCTCCATTAGCTGATAATATGGTTTGGCTGTGTCCCCACACAAAATCTCATCTTGAATTGTACTCCCCATAATCCCCATGTGTCAAGGGCAGGACAAGGGTGAGGTAATCAGATCATGGGGGCTGTTTCCCCGATGCTGTTCTTTTTTTTTCTTTTTCTTTCTTTTTTGTTTTGAAATGGAGTCTCACTCTTTTTGCCCAGGCTAAAGTTCAGTGGCACAATCTCAGCTCACTGCAACCTTCACCTCCTGGATTCAAGTGATTCTCCTGCTTTGGCCTCCCCAGTAGCTGGGACTATAGGCACACACTACCATGTCTGGCTAATTTTTTTGTATTTTTACTAGAGACAGGATTTCACCATGTTGGCCAGGCTGGTCTTGAACTCTGGACCTCAAGTAATCTGCCTGCCTCGGCCTCTCAAAGTTCTGGGATTACAGGAGTGAGCCACCATGCCCAGCCCCGCATGCTGTTCTCATGATAGTGAGTGAATCTCACAAGATCTGATGCTTTTATAAGCATCTGACATTTCCCTTGCTTGCACTCACTCCATCCTGCCACCCTGTGAAGAAGGTGCCTACTTCTCCTTTGCCTTCCACCATAATTGTAAGTTTCCTGAGGCCTCCCAAGCAATGCAAAACTGTGAGCCAATTAAACTTCTTTCCTTTATAAATTACCCAGTCTTGGGTATTTCTTCATAGCAGTGTGAGAATAGACTAATACACATGATAAACAACTTCAGCAAAGTTTCAGAATGCAAAATCAATGTACAAAAATCAGCAGCATTCCTATACCCTAAACACAGGTAAGCTGAGAGCCAAATCAAGAAAACAATAACATTCATAATAGCCACAAAAAGAATAACACACCCAGGAATACCTCTAATCATGGGGGTGAAAGATTTTGACAATGGGAATTGCACAACATTGCTCAAAGAAATCAGAGATGACACCAATGGAAAAATATCCCATGCTCATGGATAGGAAGAATAAATAATATTAATTGTCCATACTGCCCAAAGCAATTTATAGGTTCAATTGCTATTCCTATGAAACTACCAAGGACATTCTTTATAGAATTAGAAAAAAAACTATTTTAAAATTCATGTGGAACCATAAAAGAGCCTGTGATGGTTAATATTGAGTATCAACTTCCTTGGATTGAAGGATGCAAAGTATTGTTACTGGGTGTGTCTGTGAGGGTGTTGCCAAAGTAGATTAACATTTGAGTCAGTGGACTGGGAGAGGCAGACCCACCTTCAATCTGTGTGGGCACCATCTAATCAGCTGCCAGTGCAGCTAGAATAAAACAGGCAGAAGAAGTTGGAGGGACTTGCTGAGTCTTCCAGGCTTCCTCTTTCTCCCTTGCTGGATGCTTCCTGCCCTTGAACGTCAGACTCCAAGTTCTTCAGCTTTTGAACTCTTGGACTTATACCAGTGATTTGCCAGGGGCTCTCAGGCCTTTGGTCACAGACTGAAGGTTGCACTGTTGGCTTCCCTACTTTTGAGGTTTTGGGACTCATATTGGCTTCCTTGTTCTTCAGCTTACAGACAGCCTATTCTGGGACTTCACCTTGTGATCATGTGAGTCACTACTCCTTAATAAACTCCCCTTCATATATACTTCTATCCTATTAATTCTCTCTCTTCAGAGAACCCTGACTAATACAGAGCCTGAAGAGCCAAGACAATCCTAAGCAAAAAGAACAAAGCTGGAAGCATCACATTATTCTACTTCAAACTACACTACAAGGTCACAGTAACCAAAACAGAATGGTATAGGTCAAAAAACAAACACATAGACCAGTGGAACCAATAGAGGGCCCAAAAATCATGCCACACACCTACAACTATCTGATTTTCTACAATGTTGACAAAAACAAGCAATGGATAAAGGACTCCCTGTTCAATAAATGGTGCTGTGATAACTGGCTAGCCATATGCAGAGGACTGAAACTGGACCTTTTTCTTATACCATATACAAAAAGTTAACTCAAGATGGATTAAAAACTTAAATGTAAAACTTAAAACTATAAAAACTCTAGAAGATAACATAGGAAATACCATTCCATACATAGGAACTGGCAAAGATTTCATAACAGAGACTCCAAAAGCAATTGCAACAGAAACAGAAATTGACAAATGGACCAAATAAAACTGAAAAGCTTCTGCAAAGCAAAAGAAACTATCAACAGGGTAAAAAAAAAATGATCTACAGAATGGGAGAAACTGTTTGCAAACTGTGGATCTAACAAAGGTCGAATATCCAGACTCTATAAGGAATTTAAACAAACTTACAAGCAAAAACCAAATGACCCACTAAATATTGGGCAAAGAACGTGAACAGACACTTTTCAAAAGAAGATGTACACGTGGCCAGCAAGCATATAGAAAAATATTCAACATCACTAATAATTAGAGAAATACAAATCAAAACCATGATGAGAGAGTATTTCACAACAGTCAGAGTGGCTATTATTAAAAAGTCAAAAAATAACATGCTGGTGAGGCTGTGGAAAAAAGGGAATGATTATATACTGCCGGTGGCAATATAAATTATTTCAGTCATTGTAGTAAGCAACTTAGTAATTTCTAGAAGAACTTAAAAGAGAATTGCTACTCAACTCAGCAATCCATTATTGTATATATACCCAAAGGTATATAAATCATTCTACTATAAAAACGTATGCATGCATTCATTCATTGCACCACTATTCACAGTAGTAAAGACATAGAATCCATCTAAACACCCAATCAGTGGTAGAATGGATAAAGAAAATATGGTATCTATACACCATGGAAGACTACATAGCCATAAAAGAGAATAAGATCATGTTTTTTGCAGCAACATAAATGGAGCTAGAGACCATTATCCTAAATGAACTAACACAGGAACAGAAAACCAAATACTGCATGTTCTCACTTATAAATGGGAGCTAAATATTGAGTACATATGGACACAAAGAAGGGAACAATAGAAACTGGGGCCAACTTGAGGGTGGAAGGTGGGAGGAGGGTGAGGATCATAAAACTATCTATCAGGTACTACTAATCGTATTACATGAGTGATGAAATCATCTGCACACCAATTCCTCGTGACACGCTATTTATGTATATAATAAACCCGTACATGTATCCCTGAACCTAAAATAAAAAGTTAAAAACGCGACAACACTATCTTAAAATTTTGCAATAGCATGTAAAATAACTTGGAATTTGAAAAGCAGAGCATAAAACTGTGTTCATACTGATTATTACAGCCATGCAAAAATATATTTGTCTAAATGTACATGTAAATGTGACTTTATTATTTTATATTGTTAGCATTAGGAATGCTTTTCCTTTTAAATTGTTTATATTATTTTACCAGTTAAAATAGGAAAAAGCAGACTGAATCAGATTCTATTGGCAGGAAATAAAATTATTTTCTCATTGGAGAGGGTATGCATGTAGAAGTTAATGAGCATACGTTTAATAGTCAAAAAACAGTTGAGTTTGTGGCTGTTGCTTCTATTGGAAACTGTGAGACCCTGAACAAATAATTCATATTCTGCAAGTGTCAGTTTTCCCTTATATAAAATTGAGATTTTTTTCTCATAGCCATGGAGATTTGGTGAAATAAAGACTTTATCATGTAGCAAACATTTTGACATATAATCAGTGTTCAAAAAGGGATATCCTTTTTTCACATTTTGGCAGCAACCAATTGTAGGTCACAAAAATATTATCTGATAAGTCTTCTTAATGTCAGAATGTCTAAATAAAATGTGAAAAAAAAAGCCTGTTAAGCATTTATCTGATAAAACTATTTCATTTGGGGCCTTTCCAAGACAATATATTTTTGTGATTGCAATGTTTTCCCATTTTCTTTCATGTATTTTGAATTTTATAATATACAAGTTTATTGCAACAGAAATGCTTTAATAAAATTAAACCTCAGACTATATGTATAGTTAAAAAGTGGTACTGGAAAATTACATGAAGTAGATTTTTCTGTAAGAAATCAAATATCTGAATAGCAAACATATTAATTACAAACAGCTCTTCTTCTCTCTCTCAAGTCATATCTTACATCTCTGTGCCTGCATTTGACTTGGTCTTCTGAGTTAATGCTCCCTCTCCCCACCCCCTTCCCAGCCCCACCAAATGCATAAGCAGTTTACTCTTCTTTTCTTCCCAGGGGAGCCTAGTCTATTCATGTGGGCACAAGGAACATAGGTTCCAAAAGATCCCACTGATTCACGTATCATAGAGAGTTTCTAATACAAAGGTCTATAGAGACATCTTTTAGATTTTCCAGTGCAAAGTTTTAACTTGAAAGCTGTGCACATTTGGTCTAGGAGGGCATAACAATGGCTCCCCAACCCTGTTCCTCTTTTCAATATAACCCCACTTAAAAGAAATTCAGTTTCTTTAGCAATAAAAGTATCCCAAGGACCCAAGGTTCTCTCACATCTCAGAAAGACTCCATGTGAGAAGAGCCACTGTAGTTTCTTTTGAACATTCCATTGTTGCCTCTCAGCCCATGTAGATCAGCACTGGCTGGGGACAATCTTTCTAACTTAAGACCTGGGGTGAGACAGAAAAAAAAATTGATGAGGTTTATCACCTTCCCTTCATGATATGTCTTGGCAGCAAAGTGACCCAGGCAGTTAAGAAGCATATTGCATGCATAAAAATTTAATGAGCTCTTAGAGACTTTGTGGTCTCCAGTGAGGATTTCTTTGGGAAATTTCTTTATTAACTGGCTTTTATGGGTAAATCTTTTCTGGAATCCCAGTGAAAGCTTGCAACACATTTGAAAAGTGAATGTGAACTCACAATCAGAATTCCTTCCAGCCAATTACTGGTGAATGTAACAAAGTTGACTTCTATTTTTTCTACAAAGGAAATTTTATTTTTCTTTAGGAACAAGGGTCAAAATACCTACTGTTTGAGTTACATATCTTCAATGAAGAATTCATGTTTAAAAAACATTCTCAGTCTTGTGTGAACTAATTAGTAACTCCATTTCAAAAGATGCATTTAAAAATTCATTACATAGTCACCCTATCCACCTTTCATTCATTCACTCAACTCTTTCAGCATCTGCTTAAGTATCTACTATGTGCCAGATATTATTCTAGTAAATTGAAACATTTTTAAACAAAACAGACAAAAATAATCTCTGCCTTTTTGATGCACCCATTTCAAAGAGTAGAGAAAACATAAACAGTAAACATTAAAACATATAAATAATATCGTGTGTTAAAGTTGGTAAGTGCTATAGGGAAAATATAGAGCAGATAAGAGAGATCAAGTATGGGATCTTCACTGGGGTGAAGTAGGAGGGTTGTCTAGTGTTAAATAAGGTGGGAAGAGTATGCTTCTCTGAAACTCTGACCTTTCTACAAAAGTTTAAAATAGATAGGAGACCTAGCTATGCATGTATTCAGGAGGTGAATACGCAAGTAGAGATGACAACTGGTGCAGCAGAGGCCTTTAGACAAAAGCATGCCTGATTTGTTCCAAGAACAGCAAGAAAGCTAGTGTGTCTGAAGCCAAGTGAATGAAGAAAATGGCAAGACACCTGGTCAGTGGAGCCACAATGCCACTATTAGGATCTTGATTATTTTACCCGAGAAAGTGGAGAGCCAATGAAGAGTTTGGGGCAGAGGAGGAATGTCATCTGACTTATATGTTATGAGATCACTCTGGGTATGGTGAAAGGAATAGCATCACATACTGCAACTTCTAGGAAATCTTACCCAATACCGCCATCTCAAAGGAGCTGCTCCATCAGCATACTTCTAACACATTCGTATATTCATTCAACCACATTTACTGACACCAGCACTCTCATAGGAGCAGGAAATAGAGAAATGGACAAGCTGTTGTCATATTTGGACCCTCCAGAATTCAGAATGTCTTCCTATTTGAGAAATACCCCTTTATGTGACACAGGCTCTCACCTTCCACACCTCAAAAGAAAAGCTGAGTTAAGCATGCTATGCTCAGACAATAGGGGAAGAAAAAATGTGACACTTATATTCTACAACTCATATATAAAAAAAGGACATGTTAATTGTCTCTAACCAGAACTCTGGCCAAACTCAACCATTTGCTTAGAGAAAACAAATTATTCTACCTTGTTTCACCATGACTATTTACTGATTGCTTTTTTATTTTCATTTTTATCAACTTCAAATATTGTTATTTTATAACTGGCCACTTTGGAGAAATATTCAGATGTGCAGTGTTCCTTTCTCCTCTTCTTTCTCTCTTTTCATCTCTCATTAAAATAGATATAGGATAGACCCAGAGAAAAACAATGATGTTACCAAGAAGTTTTCACATTGTGTTGATTTAGGAAAGGTGATACCTGTTTCTAAATGGTCTTCGTTAAGGGTGACTTATGGAGTTTGTGGTTTTGTATGTGTGTCTTTGTTCATCTGGTCAGCCTGGAGTATGCTTGGTTAATAGACATCTTGTGCTGTTATCTACTGCAGTGTGACAAGTTCCGCCTTGTCTTGTGGCAATGATGCTGACACTTAAATGATGATGATGATGGTGATAATAATGTTAATAAAAATAATGATGACAATAGTGATAATAATCTCTGCCACTGCTTCAGACCTCAGGTCCCTACACTCTCTGTAGCCTTGTCCTAACCTCTTTGTGCTTCAAGTACTTCTCTATCCCCAAAAGGGACAAGAAACCTTAAATCCATCCACAAAGAACCTCCCTCAAACATTACTACTCTATTTTCTCATGGTGCCATTTGTAGAGTGTTTCTCAGTTTTCCATTCTTCTCTTAGCACTAGAGACATAAAAATAGGCATAACATGTTCTCTGTCTTCCAGAAGCTCTAAGTCTTGTTTAAAGGTCTTCTACTTCCATTAGAGCACTCAGTTTTCAAATGTAAGCAGGGCCTTGTTAAAAATACACATTGCTGGGCCCTACCCCCAGAGGTCTGATTCAGTATATCTGCAGTGGTACCAAAGAATTGGCTCATTAATAAGCTCCCAAGTGATGTTGATGCTACAGGTCCAGGAAGCGTACTTAAAGAACTACGGTGTGAGAGTATTCAAAATACCAGCTGCTTCCACATCCTGGTTAAAGGTTTTCTGTCAATTACCACTACTTCCAGATGAAGGAGATTCAAAATCTTAATCTTACCCTATTGGTATTTCTATGTTCATAGTAATATAAGGAAAGTTATAATTTCTTGTCCATTCAGGTCATAGGTATCCCCGGCATACTACACTTATTGGCTTCTTTTGACCCTCATAATGAATGAGGTATTGATTTGCTGATCAGTGATTAGTGCCTGAAATGAGAACCTCAGGGAAGTCAGGAGCTGACAAAGCTCTCAACAAGTAGAGCTGGAATTCCAACTCATTTCTGTTTTTCCACAGTTTCTGCCTTTTTTACTCAGCTTTCTTGCTGAAGCCCGTTCATTTTATGCTGATGGTTGGGAGGTGGAGGCCTGTGAGACAAGTGGCTTGTTAAGCATCAGGAAGCCTCAATAAATTATTGATTGAATTTCTTTTTTCCTCTTTTCTTCCTGCTCATAAAGAAAGCACTTCATCTGTTAAAAGACTGAAGCTCAGACAGTGCTAACAGGAAAAGAAAGGCCACCCTCTGGTTCCCTGGAGCCTTGGAACCTCTCTCTCCAACACATGAGTTCCTTCTGGAATTTAACTTAGCTTTCAGATCCAGCACTATGCACACCCCTCCACCCCCATTCCAGAAGTGGAAGTGAAAGGTTCCCAGGCAGCCAGCATCAAGGTGGCTGTGGGAAGGATCCTACATCAGCAGCGCCACCAGCAGGAGAGTGGGAACATGACTTCCTTCTGCGCAGCCTGCCTAACCCTCTTCCTGTGCTGGTTGTCATGGTGACAAGGGCACTGCTTGTGCAGGTGCTGTATTGTGAGGGAGACACACATGCGACTCAAATGATGAGGGGAATTAAGGAAGATCTGCAGCCAGCCCTGAAGCTGCAGCAGGAGGGCTCTGAATCCTGTGGTGCCCTAAGCAGTGGTTAGAGAATTGAGAAGGCTGGGGAAGTGCAGGAATCCAAATCACAATGTCTAGAGAGAACCTCCCAGTGACTTTGTCTGGCTGGAGGATTAAAGAGCCATAGTCTGTAGGTGGAGGGCCCAGATTTGTCACTGATTTGATCAGAAAAATGCTTTCCTAACTTCAGGAAAACCACATATATATATGTCATTCCAATCTCTCTCTTTCAACTCTCTCATTGGCAGGAAAAGCACAGGAGTAAGTTAGAAGACAGACAGAACAGAATTCATACCGTCTTGCTCTATGAATCAACATGAACTGTCAAGAAATAGTGAAATCACTCCAAAAAAGTGTTTACGTTTTTGAGTGTGTTTGTTGGCTGTTTTTTTTCTTGAAAATCCGTTTAGTGTTTCTTAAGTACTAGGAAGTCATGATCTCAGTAGGATTTCAGGGTTGTTTGCAGGAATAAGAGAAACTAAAATTATAAAGTGAAATGTAGCCTCACCTTCATTTCCTACATTGATTGCTTTCCTGCCACCCCCTTTCCCACCCAGCTCCATTGACTGTTTGCTCCTCACCATTCATTATCCATTCTCTCTTCACCTCTATCAGTGGAAGAAGCATTGATATTGGTCCCAGAAAAGGAAAAGGGAACTAAAATTATATAATACTGAACATGGTTAGTGTGCTTGGCCATTGATAAACATTTTCTCATAGAATCTACACAATATAGCACTTGGAATGCAACCACCCCCATCTTATATATTATTGAGCTTCAAAGAGCTTAAGAAATGGGGCTTAATCAGAGACAGAGCATGGATTCAAACTTAGGTCTTTATTGTCTCCATAGCTCAGCTTTTTCCAACTAAAATGCTATATCGCACTGTCCCTCTAAACAAAACAAAATAGAAAAACACTCTCTTCTCATCTCTGGTAAATTTTACATTTAACTGGCAAGAATTTTGCTGTTTTTTAATGTCACATCCCAGAAGTCTTATTCCAGTCTTCATTATTATTAACAGTCAATGTTTCTTGATTTTACTCTGTCCTAGGTAGTACACAAAGCATTTCACAACCCTATGACATAGAGGATATGTTAATAACGTTTATTCATATTAAATGTATGCAAATTTAAGGTTCCGGAGATAATTTTCCTAAGATCCCACTGCTCGAATAGGTCTGAGTCAGGATTTGAACCCAAGTGTGTCTGTTTTCAGATCAAAGCACTCACTCCTTATGCTATGTCATGAGGCACAGTTATTGTAAACTTTCCAGAGACGGGGGGCTGGAGGGTGCGGTGAAAACAACAGGAAAGAGATGTTATACTTTTATTCTCTGCTTGGTTTCCATGGAAGTAAAGCTAAACTGTGTGGGTTTGTGGCTGAAGCAAGGAAGGGCATTTCAAGAAATGTAGGAGTCCTTCTCATGTTACCGTGTCTCTGTGTGTGTGTGCATGCACACGCATACACGTGTGTTTAATTTCTGGAATGTTCCCAGTCACTATTGTTTTGGGTTGAATACTAAGGTGCAGGTAACCTAAGTCTTCAACTGAAATGACTTTCACAAAAGCCTCCCTTCCATGATGTGCTTGATAGAGATCAATGCATTTAATATTCATTTCAGGCTAATTAGCTAAAGCAAGGGTCCCATGAGCACCAAGAGCCAGGAGAAGGGACAATTCAGGACATCTCTGTCTAATTCCTCTTTAAATGCTAATAGCTTTAAGATTATTCTATTAACAAGCAGTATCAGACAAGGAATAAAAAGGTCTGTTTCATTTAATAAAAGGATCACAAATGGGTAGGAATGTTTGTAACAGCCTGAGTAATTATCTGTTTATTTAGGTCAATCTGCTGCGGGCATCAGGAAAACATAACTAAGAAGAGCAATCTGATTTATGAATATCCCAAAAAGGGGCTTCATTGTCCCCTGATCCCTGCACTTCTACATCCATCACAAAAAAACAAGTTAGCTCTGTAGCAGGGAGTGAAGACTCCTTTCTTTGGAATCCTAAGACTCCCAAGTCCAACATTTATGATACGACAAATCAAAGCCATGTTCTAATACATGTTGTTACCTCGACAATGTGTTTGGGCAAAGAAGCAAAGGAGTCTGGGTCTAGACATGAACTATCATCTACAAAATCAGAAATCCTGGCTTCTCCCTAGTAACCCCAAATACAGTCACTTTAAGCTCTAAAAATTTTATAGAACTACAGCCCCTCACTATTTACTAGAATTTTAAATAGGCAAGTTAAGCATAATCATATTATTAAGCTCCCAAAAGTTGTTTGAAGGATTAAATAAGATAATGTATGTGCAGAGTGACCAGCCCATAGTAAATGTTCAACAGGTTGTTTTAATTGCTACCTGGCTCAGCTACAGAGACTGACTCTGTCAAAGGCACCTGAGAGGACCAAAGGGCATGGTGATTAGCTTAAGAGTTTAGACATTTATTATTCAAGATGGATCCATCCAATCAGCAGATCCTGCCAAAAAAGATGGCCAAAGTCATAGGTTATACTTTTGTTAGGTAAATGGCGACATCAGTCTATTCTTTATTTATTTTATTTTATTTTTTTCTGCAGAGATTTAAGAAGTGGTCTAGCCATCTAGGGAGGGAGTTGGCAAAAGCTCGGTCAGGTATCTAAACTCCAGCTGAATAGGCTGAGGCTCAATGAAGGTCTGTAGTTCTAATAGTTGTTGCTATGACATGCTCTATTGCTGAGTCATCCGAAGAGCTTCTTGAAAACTCAGATTTCAGGTCCTAACACAGATCTGTTGAATCAGAGTCTTCAAGGGATAATGCCAAAGAATATAAATTTTCTAAAATTTCCCCAAGACTTTAAGTTACATGATGGGAGCCCATGTTTGGAAACCAATGAGCTAAGGAAGTGGGTATGACTGAGCCTGCTGCTCTAAGAATGTCACATTTGTGATGAGGATCTTTCTGAACACAGCCTGTAAATCAGCTAATACTCCTGTCTCATAGGGATGTACACGAGGCCCGTAAATCTTCACTGCACAGAACACCAAGTGCCTGCATGTCTTACTTCTGCTTTTCTTCACCAATAAGCTACAAAAAAATGGGAAATGAAAGATGGTTCTTAATGGTAACCTTTTGCTATCTCATCAGGCCTCCTTTGTCTTACCTATGAGCAGGAAAACAGATACAAAGTTGCAGGAGCTTTTAAGCAGATATAAAATATAATGTTGGGACTTAGCTATCGTGACCAGGAACTTAGGTATCGTTGCTTAAGTCTTATTTCAAATGGCCACTGCAGCATATTAATAAGTTAAGAATCAGGTTGAAATCTATGTTAGATTTTTTTTTCATTTGTTTCCTCAAAATGGCTTCAGAAGATAAAAAAATAAATATATCTAGAAGGGAGATGCTGGGCCATAATGCAGGTATATGCTAAACTAAGCAACTGAGCCAATTTTCATTCCCTCCAAGTATGAGAGTTTTTGTTCTCCCACATTTTCACCAACATACGGAATTTCCAGTCTCTTTAATTTTAGTCATTCTGGTGGGTGTTTAATGGGATCTCATTGTGGTTTTAATTGCAATTCTCCAATGAGTAATCATTTCACATAATGTGCCTATTAGAGTGTTTTGCCCATAACTCATCAATTTCATTCCAAAGTATATGTCCAAAATAAGTAAGTGCAAATGTCCACCCAAAGACATATATAAGCAGCTTTATGTGTAACTGGAAACATTCCAAATATCCATCAGCAGGAGAATAGATAAATAATATGGAATATGTATTTTCACAATAGGATCTACACAACAAGAAAAATAAAAGCTACTAAAACATGCAACAGCCTGGATGAATCTCAAAGATACCATGCTGAAAGAAAACACAAACATGAATGAGTAAGTACTATATGGTTCCATTTACATGACGTTCACAAACATAACTGATCACAAAAGAAACTGAAATAAAAACGAACCCCGGTGGTAGGGAAATGTAATCAGGGCAGGATTCATGGTTGTCCCACAATCAGAAAGAAAGGTGGCGTGCTTAGTTTAAAGCTCTGCTCTCAACGCGTTTAAATTTCTAACACTGTTTGAACAAACAGCCCCACATTTTCATTCTGGACTAGGAGGTGGAAATTATGCAGCTAGTCCTGGCTATCACTGACTAGAAAATAGGCACAAAGGATCTTCCTGGGGGTTGGAAATATTCTACATATTAATCAGGGTGGTGGTTCCACATATGTATGTATATGTTAAAATTCACTGGGCTATATACGTAAGATTTGTGTGCTTTACTATATACGTAAATTATAGCTTAATAAAGTTTTAACAGAAATGTGAAAAAATAAATAGAACATATAGCAATATGAAGAGCTAGTTTTACCAGAATTGCCAGAGGCTCTCCTGCATAGCCCAGGGGAGGATTCTAACCATAAGTGACTTCAGCTGTGAAAAAGAACAGGCGAATGATAATATTAACATACAGTGAGTATCTGCTACATGTCAGACACTGTGGAAATCACTTCATATGTGCTAAATCATTAAATCTTCACAGCACCCTTATAAGATAGATATCAGTCTCCATTTATAGTTAAGAAAAACGAGGTCCAGAGAGGTTAAGCAACTTGTCTAATGACAGACAGCATATAATCTGTCAAACAGAATTTCAAACCCAGATCCACCTGCTTCAGACACACGCTGTCCAGACTATTATATATGTCACCTCCACTTCTAGAAAATCTCCTGACCATGTATTAGGGGAGACAAAATAAAGCTGACCATGTTCCAGGAATTTCAATATAACATAACTATTTCGAAGCTGGATGGAATGTGGAGAAATCTTTTTCTGGCCCTTGCAGGCATGCTGTGCTCTCCCAGGGCGTGAGATTCGATTTTACCCAGTGAACATAACTGCAGGTATTAGTCCTGGAAATACAATTACCCATCTCAAGTATTTGACTCAAGGACTTGGTTTAGCCTCTGATTCTACAGCTTGCCGACGGGCCACAAGAAATAAGCATTGTTATGTGACCTTCAAAACGTGACAGTTGAGTAGCAAAATAAATGATTCATTTAATGGGTTTAGATATACAGGGCCTTCCTCTGCTTCAGCACTGAGGTCTTATTTATGCCCTGGTCTTAACTGAGTTTCTTTGTGTGGAAGCTTTGAAAAGCCATTATGGTCAAAGCCTTTCACAGGATTTCTTATTAGAATGCTTTGAAATTTCTATGTAGAAAACAGAAGCAGTGAATCCGTTATGTTTGTTGCATGAATGCCTTTAAAAAGCACTTAAAACAGACTATTGAATATTTGACACTGAGGAAATAACAAAAATTGAGGATAATCTGTATTTAATCTGGTTTTAAAATATACACTTTTGTAAGGTTTAGTGTGCCTTTTTTTTTTACTTTTATCCAACAGATTACTCAATACACAATTTATTGAGTGTCTTTATATACATGGCAGCATGCTAGAGATATTTAATATGAGATGGCAAAGACATGCATTTGATCTTCTGCAAGCTAAGAGTGGAGTAGATAAAATTATGTAATATGATTTTTACATGTTCATAGTGCAAAATTTGATTAAATAAATCAATGAATTCCAGCATCAAAAGAAGGGGTGGTGGAAGGAGCAAGTCCATACCTCCTTATCTTCCTCAGGAAAAATTAGTTGGTGGCCAGAAATGTAATGAAATTGCCAAAATAATATGAAATTATCTGTGAGGTCAGTTGTGGTTCCTATTGTTCTTTGTTTTCCTCCAGACAGTCTTAGAGAATACAAATCTTCACCACATTAACTGGTAACCTCAACTGAGGGATGTCATGGCTGCTGCAGTTGGAATGAGGCGAGAATCCTGCTAACAGTCCAGTTATAGATAAGGAAAGTGTAACTGAATAAATCAAGTGATTACCCCTAATACGCAAAGCTAGGATTCACACATAGCTGTGCCAGACTGTGAGATCTTTGTGCTCTCCATATAACCATACTAACGTATCCACCTCATCCTAAAGCCACCTTCATCTCCTCCCTCCTTCACTATCTCCCAGCCACACGATCTGCGTTACACACTAACATGTCCACTGCAATCCAAAGACAGAATGTTTGAACATCAGAGGAGAAAGGTTCTTACAATATCACCCAGAGAACGCTCTTCTCCCCAGCGTTGTTTTAGATAGATGATGAGACCGAGGTCTAGAAAAGCAAGACTCGTCACAAACATTTCTATATGGTAACTGGTAGGAAACTAATGTCTCCCACTTTCTACTTGAGTTTCTCTCCCAGATATTCACTTTTACATGCAGTAAATTGTTTATCATCAATAGCATGTATTAGATGATATCTGGATAATCCCCCACCTTACATTTTCAAAGTCTCAGAACCACACATGAAAAACTTTTATTATTATTTTTCATAATTCATGATCATTAAAATCCAGAATTAATAACTGCTAACTCATTGTTGTTACCACTATGCCTTGGCTGTCTTTTTATTCTTCAGTATCAGGAGTATTCTTGATTATATTTACTTACTCCAGAAAGATTCTGTTCAATTTCAGTATAATCTCCATTCAATATCAACTAGCTATGTGTCACACACAGCAGTGATATATAACTCAAGATGTGTACCACATTTACTAAAGATGCCCCCAGTTCCTACTATGTACTTGGCACTGTATATATGTGTATACATAAATACATGCATATTTTCTATACATATATAATTGTAAATGTATACATATACACAAATAGAAAGATGTACACTTATTTAATTAAGAAATAAAGTATATATATCTTTCTATGTTCATATCATGTGATGTGATCCCTTTATTTAAAATTGCTGCACAAATTTAATGTTAAAAATTGAAATAGCTGACATAAAATATTTATAATGCAAAATCTTAAGCAAATTTGTCCAAGTAAATAATATTTCATATATCCCCTAAAGTTTTACTTTGACTACAGTTACTAAATTCAATTTTTTATTATGCTTTTATTTATTATTTAAGACCAAAACACAATGACATTAAACAAAGCTTTCCCTATGAGCATTGAAAAGCCAAATAAAAAAGCCAGAAAGTACAGTAGGAAGTTGTTCCAGACCTGAAGACTGGCAGGAAAGAAGACTGAAACTTTTAACATCATACTCCAACGCAGAATAGATTGAAGGGAGGGTAGGGCAGATAAGAGAGACCAGAGGAAATCCTTTTTGAATTTCAGAGAAACTAATTAAGAAATTGGCTTTCCAGAAAAACATAACCAACAAACAATTTAAAACAAGTCAAAGATAGATCAAGCTGGGGCCTGTTTTAGCATCATTTTCCTCAGTACTTGAAATAATAACAGGTGACTGTTTAATACATATGATAATTAGATATACTCCTAGCTGTAAATCTATGTTCGATGAGTATCCTTCTCCTAGTTTCTTCTTGAATGGTGCGTGCCAAATTAAAAAAAAAAAAAGTCGTGTTCTTCTCCCCACTATGATCACAGTGGTCTTTGGTATTCTATGCTACTTTTATTAATTACCATTTAATACTAGCCCAGTACAAAAGCATCATAGATCTATTCATATAAACCCAGCATTATGCTGGATACTTGGTGAGCATTATTGAACTTAATTCTCACAGAAGTTCTGTGAGGTGAGTCATGTTAGGGTCTCAATTTTATAGATGATTAAAGAGGAATATAGAGTTAAAGCAACTTCCTTTATCAGTTGCACAACTGACTAATGTCAAATGGGGTCACAAACCAAGGCCTCTTACATGCAGTGCCTTTAACCACCAGTCTCATTTTCTAAAGAAAACATTCAAAGGGGAGGCTTACAAATGCAGATTTCAATTAAACATGCACAATAAAGAAAACCACCATAAAAGATAATTTCTAGCACTTAGAGTCTCTATGTTCCACTTCTGCTTCAAGTTTTAAGGAAGAGAGAATCCCTGAATCCCTTCTCAAGCCATTGGACTACTGGCCTTGCCCTTAAACCTGGAAGTTGTACCTACTCTTAAAAGCACTTGGTTCAACCTTTGGGGGATTATAAAAGAAAAGTTGACCAAAAATAATCTCTACTTCTCTAGCTGCATTAAGGGACCCAATTTAAGTGGATTGAGGTGTCAAAATTCACATAACAATTCACATCAGAAAAGGCCTTAAATGTCAATTTATCTTTGCAGTGAGAGTACCTTGGAGCAAAAATTGAGTGAAGACATCCCAGTGCAATAACCTCCCTTAGCCAAGAGCTCCTCTGAAGCACTGTTAATGTCTCCTTCATTTCACAGACACTAAAGAGCAAAATTAATTTTGCAGTCAGTGGGCATGCTGTCTCCCCTCTCTAAAGGTACTCAGCCTGTACTAGTTTGCTAGGGCTGCCATAACAAAGTACCACCGACTGGGTAGCTTAAACAGAAATGTAGTTTTTCTCAATTCTGGAGACTAGAAGTCCAAGATTAAAATGTTGCCTGGGTTGAATCCTTACGAGGACTCTCTCCTTGCCTTGTAGGTAGTTGTCTTCTAGCTGTGTCTTCATAGAATCATCCTTCAGTCTGTGTGTGCACATGTCCTAATCTCCTCTTAAGGACACTCTCAAAATGAAGTAAAACAACCTCATTTTACTTTAGTCCCCTCTTTAACCCTATGTCCATTATATAGTCACATTCTGAGGTACTGGGGGTAGAGCTTCAGCATGAATTTTGAGAAATATGGTTCAGCCCATAACACTGCCCACTGAAATAACCCCAGTTTTTTTATTTTTCTGTTTCATTGCCTCTACAGGTTCCAATTCATGCTTTACAGCCTATTTTTTTCATTCAACTGTCCTTCCCCGCAGTCCTCAATCCCCATCCCTGCTTCACCATCTAGTGATGAAACTTAGTGCAGTTTTTGCACTTCCAGTTTATGGGGGTGAGTCCTGAGAATTAGCACATGCCCTCAACAATGAAATGAAATGGAATACAATTTGCCCTTGTAGGGCAAAGACTTAAACTTCTGTCTCTTGAAGAGAAATCTACAAGGATGGAACGCGAGAGCCAGTGGAGGCCATTTTATAGCCAGGAAGGGCAAGTCTGAGAATAAAGTAGGAGAACAGAGCAGACTCAAAATACTGACAGTATAGAATGCTGGTAATACTTTTTGAGGCTCTGGATCAAAGTGGGTCTCAGATCAAAATTATACCCAATCTTTTCCATCACATAAGTTAACGATATTCCTTTGGCTTTATCCATTTGAAGATCGGCTACTTACAATTCTCAACAGAAAGAATACTAACTAGGAAAACAGTCTCACATATTAATAGAAGAAAAAGACAATGACAGCTTAGGAACAGGCTGCAAAAACAAATTAAGAAAGTTTTCTTTTCTGTACCTTCTGTTTACCCTACACAGACATACTTTTGTGCTAAGTTTCTGAAAGTCAAAATTACTTAATTAATTCAACAATTGTCTACAAAATGCTTACTATGAGTAAGGCATTGTGCTGTAGCACTCATTCTCAACAGGGGTGATATGGCTCAACATGGACAAAAATGAGTTCTTCTGGAGATGGAAACATCTTACTTTGTTATGTTTAAGTACAGATAGGCATACAATGTATAAATTGGTATGAAATATATTGATGGTATTAAAATTTAGTGGGAAAGAAGGGGGCAACTAGGAGAAATGTCCAAAAAAGGCTTTTTAGGAGAGCAATAATGCAAAAACGGGGGATAGGGTGAGGCAATATTGTGCTAGTGAAAGTTCAGAGAGATGTACATATAAACAAATGTGGGTCCCATAGGCTCTGCAATAGAGAAATCTACAAGGTACAATAAAAACCAAAGGAGAAAGCATTTTCAATCCTAGAGACAGAGGATTGAATATAGAGTCAAAATAGTTACATAGAAAAATTATACTTTATCTTACACTGAAAGCCTAGTGATCAAGGAGAAAGCACATCCCTGCCAGACAGACTGATGGAAGCAGAAGTGCAGAAGTAGAGAAGTAAATATTAAAGAGCCTAGCTCAGTGGGTCTGGAATCTGGGCTATGAAAGGGAAGGCAGGCAACAAGGAAGGCAGGTATATCAGGCAGAAATATTTTATTAACAGTGGATTAAACATATAAAATTTTTTCTTCTCTCTTAAAAATTCTGGAGATAGAAAACTTTGGCTTCAATTCAGTAGCTAAAAGATGTCAGCATTGGCATCTCTGAAATTCCCTTTGCCTTCTCCTCTATGCTTGTCACTTCATCTTCACAAAGTGCCTGGGGCTGCTCCAGACATCCATGTTTAAGGCAGGAAAATGGAGAAATTGCATATATTTTATACATCTATCTGCTTTTATCAGGAAAGTAAAAGCTTTCCCTGAAAAACATCTCCCTCCCTACCCATTTGACTCATTGAACCAATATGGGTCACTCAGTCACCCCCAATCACAAGGGAAACTGGGAAAATGGAGAACAGAATTGTCATAACTGGTGTAGATTAAATATTCCAACGCCTAGAGACAGCCACATTGCTGCTACAAATTTAATCTTAGTACTGTTTGAAAGAAATACGTGGAAATAGATATCAGTGTCTGCCTCAGCCAAATACATACAAATATATATACACACACATACATCTTTATATACATATTCACATATGTACATATATACATGCATAAACATGCATATATATTACATATGTGCATATACATATGTATACATATATAGTTTTAGAATAAGAAATAAATGATCAAAGAGAAACTCATAATTTAGCTCTCTGAAGCTAAGACTAGGTATAAAATAAAATTCCAATGTACTTTTGAAATTTTATTATTATAGAGGTGATACAATTATTGGTGATTTTTATATTCCTTCTCATATTTCCAAATTTTTATTGTAGATATGTTTTAGTTATATAACCGTGAAAAATAGAATATTAAAAAATACTAGTTCCCAATGAAATGTTTGCCTAGGGAATGGAGTAGGCCATTTTTAAGAGCTAAGCTGGTACATAAATGAAGGAGAGCATACTGAGGTAATTGTGCCAGAACACATAGAAAAGATGGAAAATAATTAGTGAGGCACAAGAGGTTAGAATCATTAAGTGGTTTTCTGAAGCCAATTTATACCGGGTTCCTGAGGGCCAATTGCTCAAGTTTGTGGAATTTTTAAAGTCAAAATTGTTGTCAAAAAGAGCTCTTATTAAAAATTAAGTTATATGTAAATTTACAATTAAATAAATGAAGGCAACAAATAATATCATCACTTTCTAATTATTTTGCTACATTTTACTATTATCTATGTTCTTAAGTCTATTGCATTAATATGGTGAAAATACTAGACAAGAGTGTGCTATGAGTATTTCTTCCTAACTTCATGCTCATTAATATCATGTTGGTGGCCTGAAATAGGACGTGGCAGGAGACTGACAAATACTGCAAGTCAGGGCTTGATTATTGTTTTGCTGATTGTCTAGACTTCAGAAAGTGGTGGAAATGTTATCAAAAATTAAACTTAAATTGAGTCCTGTCTATAAAATAGTGCAAACATTTGAGAAAGTACTGTTCCATCAATATTACTGCAGTAATTACCATCTAACTCTGAAAACCTTTCTTTTTCCTTTCCATTTAAAAAAAGCAAGGCTTCTTGATTCTTAAATAACTAAACCTGCAACTATAATACAATCTAGCAATGTGCTCCTGAGCATTTATCCTGGAAAGATGGAAATTTATCTTACACAAAAACTTGTACATGAATATGTTATAACATTTTTATTCATAACAGCCCAAATTTGGAAACAATCCAAGCATCCCTCTATGGCTGAATGGTTAAAACAACTGTGATACATCCATATCATCGAATGTTATTCTACAATAAAAATGAAGAAACTATTGATATGCAACAACCTAGGTGAATCTCTGGAGAGTTACGCTGAGTGAAAAATGCCAACCCAAAAAGTTACACACAGTATAATTCTATTTATACAGCATTCTAGAAATAAGAAAATTATAGAAATACAAACAGATTAATGGTTGCCAGGGGTTAAGGAGTGGGTGGGAGAAAGTGGGTGGTGTGGGCGTGGCTGTAGAAGGAAAACATGAGGGATCCTCGTGGTGATAGACGTGTTCTGTGTTTTGACTATTTCAATATCAGCGCTCTGGGTGTGCTGTTGTGCTATAGGTTTGCAGTATGTCTTCACTGACAAAACTGGATAAAATGTACCTGGAATCTTTCAATATTATTTCTTATAACAGCATGAGAATTTACAACTTTATCAAAATAAAAAGGTTAACTCAAAAACAGAAAGACATCCATTAGTTTATCTATTGCAGAAAAATAAAAAAATTTGCAAGTTGAAAAAAATGGTTTCTTAATTCTTTTTTCCCTTTCTGGTTGTTCTACTCACTCTTGTATTCCCTCTTCTTTTCTCATTGCACATATTTCTCTTTAATTATATCATTTGTTCTCATATATCCAATTACCATGTGTATAATAAATTTTCAAAACATGTATTCTCTCTTCTCTTGAAACTCTAAACCTAACTACTGGCTGGTAATAAACCTTTGGTTATCATATAGTCATTAAAAACAGCATGCCCAAAAATTAACACAAAAGCTGTTTAGTAAAGACAGGCTTGTCTTTTCAATAAATTGTGTCTAAACAATTGGGTAACCATATATAAAAGAAAAGAAGTGAGGCAAGGAAGAAAGGAAAAGAGAAAAAAAAGAAATTTGATTTATACTTCTTACCTTATGCAAAAGTTAATTCAAATGGATTATGAACCTAAATGTAATATATAAAGTTATAAAGTTTATAAAAGAGAATGTAAGCAAATATCTTTGTGACCTTGGGTTAAGCAAGATTTCTGGGATAAAATATCAGAAGCATAGTTCAAAAACAAAAAAAGGTAAATTGGTCTTCATCAAAATTAAAAATACTTACTATATAAAATACACTGATAAGAGAATAGAAATGTAAGCCATAGACAGGGAGAAAATCTTTGTAAGTCATAAATATGATTTTAAAAACATACCTATAATATACAAAGAGCAGTCAAAACTTAAAAAGAAATCAAACAACCCAATTTTTAAAAACTAGGTAAAATATTTGAACAGACACTTATTCATTATAAAAGATGGATGGATGGCAGATAAGCTCAAGAAAAGATATTCAACATTATTAATCATTATGAAAGTAAAAATTAAAACCACCATGAAATACAATTATAAACCTACCAGAAAGATATAAAATTGAAAACATGACCATACCAACAGTTGGCAAGGATGGAAAAAAATTTGAACTTTTATGTATTACTGATGGTAATACAAAATGGTACAAAATGGTATATTGGAAAACAATTTGGCAGTTTCTTTAAAAGTTACACAAACACCTACTATCTAATCTGGCCATTACTTTCCTAGCTATTTTCCAAATGAAAAGAAAGCTTATATCTATGCAAAAACTTCGGTGTAAACATTCCAAGCAACACTGATAAATTACCTACTAAGTGAAAGAAGTCAACTAAAGAAGATTTCAGGCTGGACACAGTGGCTCATGCTTGTAACCCCAGCACTTTGGGAGGCCGAGATGGGAGGATCACTTGAGTCCAGGAGTTCGAGATGAGCCTAGGAAACATAGTGAGAGCCCATCTTTACAAAAATAAAAGTTAGCAGAACATGGTGATGTGTGCCTGTAGTCTGAGCTACTTGGGAGGCTGAGGTGGGAGGATCTCTTGAGCCCAGGAGTTAGAGACTATAGTAATCTATTATTATGCCACTGAATTTCAGCCTGGACAACAGAGCAAGGCCCTGTCTCAAAAAACAACAAAAAAAGAAGAATTCATAGCATATTTCTCATTTACATGAAATTCAAGAAAAAGTAAACTAATCTAAAGTCATAGAAAGTACATCTATGATTGCCTTGAAACATCAGCATGGAAGAAGTGAAATGTAAAGAGAGGAAGAAAAGAGAGATTAAAAAGAGGTTCACGGAAACTATTAAGGGTGATAGCTATGTTCTCTATTTTGATTGTGGTGAAGATTTCACAGGTCAAAACATCACATTACACTATTTAAAGGTATAGTATGTTGTATATCAATTAAACTTAAAAATAAAGAAGAAAATAAAGATCATAAGACAAATGTGACATGAGTGGGAGAATTGAACAAGACTGGATATAGACAAGAAAAAGGACTTTTTTTTCAGTATCATAGCATGAAAAGAGAATGTACTGAATGCAAATTCAGGTAAGTTTGCGGGTTTTATAGTGATTAGTTTTCTTCTTGTGTTTTGTTTTCCCTAAAAGGTATAAGGTGAGACTCTCTACTAAGGGAGTACATGGAAAATACAGGAAGATGTCTGAGATAGCCATAATGGAAAGTGGACACAGTGGTGGTGGTGTTTCAACAGGGTAATCGTCTCTGATTTTTATGTTTGTGACAAATCCTCTTTAAGAAGTTCTTAAATTACCTTCTACCATTCCTTCATAATCTGTTGCTGTCATTGCTTTACATATGTCCATGTATTTGTTTTACATCTTTCTCATGTGCTAGACTAGATGACAACATCTTCAAAAGGAAAAACTGCTTTTCCCTAACTTCTGTGTTCCCAATAGCATTCCAGCAAGTGCTAGTCAGACAGTAAGCCCTCAGGAGACAACCACTGAGTGAGTAACTAGGGAAACTTATGGGAATCACCCAGCAACATTGAAGTGCAGAAGAGATCGAAAGCCATAATATGCCAGTGGTACCTATCTGCATGATTTTGTTATTTTATTTTCCAGCAGTGTTTGCTCAATCAGAGGTGGATACACACTGTAAAGAAAGACAGAAGAATTGTACCAGTTATTATTTCCAAGATGACAGGGCAGTGGAAGAATATTAGGCAAAGACATTGACGTGAGATAGATTACAAATGTGTTTTCACAGAGAAATCAGATTGAAGAAAGATTGAACTTTAACAGCTATAATTTTATAAATAACTGAAGGGATTCAATAAAAAAAAGCCATTGAAAATCACAGTTGATTATGAATGAACTGATTGGATATTGAATAATTGATTCTTTCCCTTAAATGGGTTATGTTAGGGAAAAATTAAAATAGAGTCCACTGTTGAATATCAAGTTTTTCCCCAATGCCACATTTTTATTATAACTTCAGTAAAATCATAAATGTCATAATGTACTTTTAATAAAAAATAAAACTTAGCATAGTGACATGAAGAAACCACGTGGGCAAAGCATGCATTTTAGGGGAACTCATGATAATTTTTTACCCCTTTGTGTTTTCTCATCCTTTAAATATGACTTTGAAGTTACTCCCATGCAAACTGTGATTTTTTTTCTTTGCTTCTTAAGTCTGGATTAGGCTTGAGGCTTTGCTTTGGCCAGTACCATGCGACAAAACTGAAAGGGTGCCAGTTCTGAGACTAGGCCTCAAGAGGCCTTGCACAGTTCCATTTTCTTGCACCTCTGCCTAAGCTAGCTTACTAGAAGATAACAAACAAATGGAGTTAACCCAGTGGTAGCTATCCTAGACCAGTCGTTTCCTCTGCTAATGGTCTTTGCAGAGAAAAGAAAGTAACTATAAAGACACATGCACATGTATGTTTATTGTGGCACTGTTCCCAATAGCAAAGACTTGGAACCAACCCAAATGTCCATCAATTATAGATTGGATTAAGAAAATGTGGCACATATACACTATGGAATACTAATCAGCCATAAAAAGGATGAGTTCATGTCCTTTTCAGGGACATGGATGAAGCTGGAAACCATCATTCTCAGCAAACTATCACAAGGACAGAAAATCAAACATGACATGTTCTCACTCATAGGTGGGAGTTGAACAATGAGGACACATGGTTACAGGACAGGGAACGCCACACACCGGGGCCTGTTGGGGGGTGGGGGGGCTAGGGGAGAGATAGCATTAGGAGAAATACCTAATGTAAATGATGAGTTGATGGGTGCAGCAAACCAACATGGCACATGTATACCTATATAACAAACCTGAATGTTGTGCACATGTACCCTAGAACTTAAAGTGTCATAAAATAAAGATATAAAATATTAAAAAAGAAAGAAAAATGATGTAGCTAGAAATATGAATAATAATCCCAGGGAGTAAGGGCTACAAGGATGAAAAGACCAGGAAATGAGAAACAGGAGGGAGGATGCTAGTGCAGCAATGACTGAATTCCTTCCCTGTTCAGATCTCATTTTAAAATGTGGAACAAAAAAATCATCTAACTCAGGAAAAGACCATTTTAAAGATGTACTCTCTTGTCATACCTTTTGAAATAAATTTACTGTGCGTTTTGTACTTCTAACTTATTATTTTGACATTATGACACTTTCAGAAGATGTCTGACTACAGACTTATAAATGTGTTTTTAAATGCTGGGTATAATTTTTCTGCATATGTTTACACCATACTTTGTTTTGGCCATATGTTAACGACACCTGTTATGTTTAATCTATTCAGAATCCATCCTATTTTCTGGTAATAGGTTCTCTACTTCCACTGGGAACTTCTTTCTTTAATGTTGGACTGGAGATGAACCCCACAGAAGTGAGCACAAACGCTGGCTTGGCCAATCAGAATATTGTATAACATAATTGGTTCAGGAGTAGACATGTGATTCAACCCATATAAAACAAGTCCTCCACAGGAGCTGTCTGCAGTATTTACTGAGAAAGACAATTCTCACTGGAATACTAACCTGGTAAGATGTCAGTCTGAGGTGTCTGGAGCCATCCTACCCAATATTTATGAGACAGCTTTGATGAGATATGGAGAGAAAGCGTGTGGATAATATTATGCAGGTCCTTGGATCCAGTCCTGCCTGGATGAAGCTTATGTGCCAATTCACTTTTTACATAGGTGAGCCAATGAATACCCTCTAATGCCTAACGCAGTTTCAACTGTGTTTCCATTTCTTATAACAAAATATATCATGGCTTTCAGATATTGGTAACCACACCATTTATCCCGCATACATTAATCTCTTTGATCAAGAAGTGACTGTATCATTCCCTAAAATTATGAGGCTCAAGGTATATCTCAAGAGAAAGCACAGCACTCTCAACCAACCCTCTGAAATGGTTACACAGGAAAGTATGAGAGCCCATATATGTAAGACATGCCTCAGAAAAAGAGCAGAAGCAAACACAAAATGCACAAGAAAGACACAGGAGAAACAATATCAACAACACTGCAACATAGAGTGATTAACTCAATCAAGAAGGAACAAATGAGCTCCATTTGCATTGTGTATGTTTTTGTGGGAAATAATGAAATTTTGTAGTGTGCTAGTTAATCAGGATCCTACAAAGCCTGACAATTCCAAGAGGAGAGGGAAAAAAGGAGGAAGGAGAGAGGAACCTGCTCTTCATGAAATAACACTAGATGCAATTTTTTATCAACTGCCCTCAGTGTTTCTCTTATTGGATGGCACTGTGTACATTTCAAGTTATTATCAGACTTGGATGTTCACTGTCTGCAAGGGCTGTGCCCAGGGTCTGTTCCTGCTGTTTTAATCATTATTACATAAGGAAAGAAGCAAGAATCCCAGTACATCATCCCTTACCAGTCTGTGTCCTAAAGCCCTCTCTGAGGCAATTTATGGAAATCACTTCTCTTCAATTATGTCCTGTTCCTTTGGTACAAGCCCAGCGGTGAGTCAACAAAGTTTTTCTTGTTCACTGATTCAGCAGCAGAGGACATTTAATCAGTGGTGCTCACTTCTTTGGGGAAAGGAGAGTAACACCGTGTCATAAGCAAAAACCCCTTACTATGAAAGTTTCTGGATAACTCAGCTACTTCCATGTCCCAGCAAATGGCCCAAGTAATCAGTCTTCTCAACCAAGTCCCTACAGTGAAAAAGCGTCAAGGCAGTAATCAGTTCCTAACAGGGAATTACCTGGTTATGCACTGTTTACATGACAATAAGAAGAAAGGACTTCTTTTAAAAAGTTTTATGATCACATAGTACTTTAGAATTGAAAAAGGACCTTTAGGAATATTAAACCTCAAAACAGCTCAGAGAAGTACACAGGAAAAAAGATACTGTTGTATCAATTTTATGGATATGGAAACCAAAATATAGAGGAATATACTTTACTTACTCAAGCTATATAACAACTAAGTAACAGAGCCAGGCTTCCATTGTATATCTCCACAAGAAACTCATGCATTCATTCACTTCATAAACTTTGACTGACCTGTTAAGTTTTTGCCACTGCTTAGGTGCTGGAAATACAAGTTTTATCCAAAATTATATTACTTGTACCAGTTCACATTCTGATATCTTTTCGGGAGTACAATAAGAAAGGGTAAAGTCAACATGTTGATAATTGCTTAACACGGTTTGTTGGAATGGTAATTGCTTAACACAGTTTGTTGGAATACATCATGTGTGTAACAGAATAAAAGAATACTGAGAGTAATCGACACATAAACAGGTAATTTACAGGAGAAATCTTAAAGGACAAATGGCCAATTCTACCTGGTAGAAACTAAAGAATTAAAAATAAAAATGGCATTCCAGCATAGATGGCATATTTGAGCCAGGCTTCGAAATATCAGTATCAGTGAGTAATAGGTTCTAATGGTGAGAGGGAAGAATGTGATGAGAGGCATGGAGATCCAGAAACTCACAGGCAAGTGTTTTCAAGGACACCATTTACCTCCTTTGCTTAATACTGTGATGTTTTCCCTAAACTTCAGGGATTTTTCCTATGGTCCTTAAACATCATTTTCTTCCATACCTCTTTCATTAATTTTGATTTCTATTTCTTTATCCCTAACTTAAAAAGTATTAAAACTACAACCAAGAAAACTTATCTAACTTCAGAACTACTCATTAAAATCTAATATAGCAGTATCCCAATAATTCCAGAAATCTGGAAAACAAAAGTAAATATCCCTGAAGAGGGTATGTCTGTGTATATATTTGCATAAATATATTATTTTCCTTTGGTAATAAGCTACCAAGAAATTAAAGTGAATATAATCCCTCGTATGATTGTAAATATTAGACAGATTATGATTCACGTTTTGTCGCTAAAGACTGAGGACTGAATCCACTCCTATTTGTACTATGTAAATAGAAGGATCTGATACCTCTTTGGTAAAGGCATGAAAACTTCCCATTATTGTGCTTTGTGTACTCGCTCAGATTAATCCAATTCCATAACGTTTCAAACCATATAATTTATAGTATTCATGAAGTTTTATTATTCATTCAGGAATTATGTCTTCAGAACATGTTATGCACAAGGCATGAATTTGGGCACTGTCATGGCACAATTTCACACACCAAAAATACTTTCAACATCTTCAGCTCACCCTTTGGGTAATAAGATCAAGCACAAATAAACATATTCATTTAGTACCTATCACGTATTATTTGTTTCACCAAGAATCCGCTTTGGGTAAGGACATGCCCTGTATTAATCAAACACCCCTGACTAACTCTCAGTGATAGACATTTAAATATTCACTACCCTTAATGGTTAAAAAATTCCTTCATCATGATAAATATTATACATGGTCTCCTGTCAGTATAGTGAGTTTTATATCTACAGTTTTCAAACTCTGTACCTTCAGGACTCCTTTGCAGTCCTAAAAATTATTGAGGGATCCCCCAAAATCTTTTGCTAGTGTACATTTTACCTATCTACATTTACTATATTATAAATTAAGGCTGAAAAATGTAAGTATTTATGTATAAATTCATTTAAAATAACAATAAACCCATTACATGTTTATGTAATTATACTTATGAAATTGATATATTTTCCAAACAAAGAAGTAATTAGTAAGAAAAGTGACTTTTCTTAGTTTTGCATACTCCTTTCGTGACTAAATTAATAGACACCAATCTAATTCTCATATCTGCCTTCTTACACAAGCTGTTGCAATAACACACATTACATTACCTCTGGAAAAACACCTCTGTATCCTTGTGAGAAAAAGACAGTGAAAAGGCAAATAATGCCTCAGTATTATTAAGAAAATATTTTTGATCTTCTGGATCCACCATAAAAAAAATGTATAGACTCCAGGGAATCCCTGAACCACAGGTCGAGAACCACTGTTTTAGATGCTAAACCTAGCAAGATTAGGACTATTTCTGTTTGAAGCATAAAGGATCATATTCCCCAAGATGCTCTTGCTATCTAATGTTTCTATTTATGGGCAGTCATGCTGATGATTCCTTGCAGGTAGGCTGCTTGTTATTACAGGGCTTTGGCAAATTCTTTTCATTTTGCCCTCAATGCTCTTCCTTGCCCTTTTATGCTCAACACCTACTTCAAATCTTTACTTTCTTGTGATACTTAGGGGACATTTTCCTGAGTCCCCTTCTGCAAACCAGGTCAAATTCCTTAACTGTCCTACCATATTCTTCTCCTTCAAAGTATTTATCATAGTTCCACTTTCAAGATTCACTTCCCTGATTTATTTATTAATATCAGTCTGTATAGCTAGGATATAAGCCTTCTGAAGGTAGGACTCTATTATAATTTTTGTTTACTTGTTTGCTTTTGCTTATCATTATATTCTTAGCACCCAGCAGCAATGAATATGTAGTTGATAAATGATGAATGAATAAATGAATGCAAGTATGCCCATCACGAAGGGCATGGATTCAAAGTTGAACAAGCCTGAGTTCAGATCCTTTATCACTAATGAGCTGAGTCACCTTGGACAACTTGATTTTCTTCTCTGAGCCTCAGTTTTTTTTCACACATAAAGAGAAGACAACAATAATTATTCCATTTATACAGCAAATAACAATTTAATGCGTCTATTTTCCCAATACTGTGTTAGGAGGTTGGGATTTGGTGATTAAAAGTTGGAATAATTCATTACCACCTTGAGTTTATGTTCTCACTAAGGAAACAGACAAGATTCAAGTAAATAGACAAATATAATATCTACAAATTCTGATAAGTGTGCTAGTTATGAAATATACACATAAGGGCCTAGGATAGTCTAGCAAGAAGGGAGAGTACCTACATTAGACAGAGTGGTGAGGGGTAACATCTCTGGAGAATGGATCTTTAAGCTGGGACCCAAAAGTTGAGAAGGATTTTATGGGAGAAGGAATTTTAGGCAGGGGAAATAATATCAGTGAATTCCTTATGTGTGGAAAAAGTTTTCAAGGAGTTAAAAGAAGACTGCAGTGTACTGAGTATGAGAGTGTGGCACGAAATGAGTTTGGAGAGATAGTTAGGGAAACAATTATGCAGAATCTGTGGGCTGCCTGCTAAGGATACCATGAGAGTCAACTAAGAAAATGCATGTGAAAGTACTTTGAAGAGGTAGCTGGTGCCTGAGGAATGCTCACTAAATGGAAGTTATTAGGGTCACAACGATCTCTTCACCAATAATCCCAAGAAAACAGCAAATGGATAACAAGGTAGAATTGACACAGTCTTCTGAAAAGGTGGCTTGGACTCTACGTAGAGAAAATCTTGGCTTGATGAGGTCTCTAGAGCATTGAATTTTGCCAAAGTAACTAGTGATCTTTCCACTTAAAGGTAGCCATTAATAAAAAAAAAATCTTGGGAGAGATATTATAATGCTTAAGTTTTTTTTTCTTTTATTTATTTATTTATTTATTTATTAAAGTTTTAGGGTACATGTGCACATTGTGCAGGTTAGTTACATATGTATACATGTGCCATGCTGGTGCGCTGCACCCAAAAACTCGTCATCTAGCATTAGGTATATCTCCCAATGCTATCCCTCCCTCCTCCCCCCACCCCACAACAGTCCCCAGAGTGTGATATTCCCCTTCCTGTGTCCATGTGATTTCATTGTTCACTTCCCACCTATGAGTGAGAATATGCGGTGTTTGGTTTTTTGTTCTTGCGATAGTTTACTGAGAATGATGACTTCCAATTTCATCCATGTCCCTACAAAGGACATGAACTCATCCTTTTTTATGGATGCATAGTATTCCATTGTGTATATGTGCCACATTTTCTTAATCCAGTCTATCATTGTTGGACATTTGGGTTGGTTCCAAGTCTTTGCTATCGTGAATAATGCCGCAATAAACATACATGTGTATGTGTCTTTATAGCAGCATGATTTATAGTCCTTTGGGTATATACCCAGTAATGGGATGGCTGGGTCAAATGGTACTTCCAATTCTAGATCCCTGAGGAATCGCCACACTGACTTCCACAATGGTTGAACTAGTTTACAGTCCCATCAACAGTGTAAAAGTGTTCCTATTTCTCCACGTCCTCTCCAGCACCTGTTGTTTCCTGACTTTTTAATGCTTGCCATTCTAACTGGTGTGAGATGGTATCTCATTGTGGTTTTGATTTGCATTTCTCTGATGGTCAGTGATGATGAGCATTTTTTCATGTGTGTTTTGGCTGCATAAATGTCTTCTTTTGAGAAGTGTCTGTTCATGTCCTTCACCCACTTTTTGATGGGGTTGTTTGTTTTTCTCTTGTAAATTTGTTTGAGTTCATTGTAGATTCTGGATATTAGCCCTTTGTCAGATGAGTAGGTTGCAAAAATTTTCTCCCATTTTGTAGGTTGCCTGTTCACTCTGATGGTAGTTTCTTTTGCTGTGCAGAAGCTCTTTAGTTTAATTAGATCCCATTTGTCAATTTTGGCTTTTGTTACCATTGCTTTTGGTGTTTTAGACATGAAGTCCTTGCCCATGCCTATGTCCTGAATGGTAATGCCTAGGTTTTCTTCTAGGGTTTTTATGGTTTTAGGTCTAACGTTTAAATCTTTAATCCATCTTGAATTGATTTTTGTATAAGGTGTAAGGAAGGGATCCAGTTTCAGCTTTCTACATATGGCTAGCCAGTTTTCCCAGCACCATTTATTAAACAGGGAATCCTTTCCCCATTGCTTGTTTTTCTCAGGTTTGTCAAAGATCAGATAGTTGTAGATATACGGCGTTATTTCTGAGGGCTCTGTTCTGTTCCATTGATCTATATCTCTGTTTTGATACCAGTACTATGCTGTTTTGGTTACTGTAGCCTTGTAGTATAGTTTGAAGTCAGGTAGCGTGATGCCTCCAGCTTTGTTCTTTTGGCTTAGGATTGACTTGGTGATGCGGGCTCTTTTTTGGTTCCTTATGAATTTTAAAGTAGTTTTTTCCAATTCTGTGAAGAAAGGCATTGATGGAGATGGCATTGAATCTGTAAATTACCTTGGGCAGTATGGCCATTTTCACAATATTGATTCTTCCTACCCATGAGCATGGAATGTTCTTCCATTTGTTTGTATCCTCTTTTATTTCCTTGAGCAGTGGTTTGTAGTTCTCCTTGAAGAGGTCCTTCACATCCCTTGTAAGTTGGATTCCTAGGTATTTTATTCTCTTTGAAGCAATTGTGAATGGGAGTTCACTCATGATTTGGCTCTCTGTTTGTCTGTTGTTTGTGTATAAGAATGCTTGTGATTTTTGTACATTGATTTTGTATCCTGAGACTTTGCTGAAGCTGCTTATCAGCTTAAGGAGATTTTCGACTGAGACAATGGGGTTTTCTAGATATACAATCATGTCGTCTGCAAACAGGGACAATTTAACTTCCTCTTTTCCTAATTGAATACCCCTTATTTCCTTCTCCTGCCTAATTGCCCTGGCCAGAACTTCCAACACTATGTTGAATAGGAGTGGTGAGAGAGGGCATCCCTGTCTTGTGCCAGTTTTCAAAGGGAATGCTTCCAGTTTTTGCCCATTCAGTATGATATTGGCTGTGGGTTTGTCATAGATAGCTCTTATTATTTTGAAATATGTCCCATCAATACCTAATTTATTAAGAGTTTTTAGCATGAAGCATTGTTGAATTTTGTCAAAGGCCTTTTCTGCATCTATTGAGATAATCATGTGGTTTTTGTCTTTGGCTCTGTTTATATGCTGGATTACATTTATTGATTTGCGTATATTGAACCAGCCTTGCATCCCAGGGATGAAGCCCACTTGATCATGGTGGATAAGCTTTTTGATGTGCTGCTGGATTCGTTTTGCCAGTATTTTATTGAGGATTTTTGCATCAATGTTCATCAAGGATATTGGTCTAAAATTCTCTTTTTTTGTTGTGTCTCTGCCTGGCTTTGGTATCAGAATGATGCTGGCCTCATAAAATGAGTTAGGGAGGATTCCCTCTTTTTCTATTGATTGGAATAGTTTCAGAAGGAATGGTACCAGTTCCTCCTTGTACCTCTGGTAGAATTCGGCTGTGAATCCATCTGGTCCTGGACTCTTTTTGGTTGGTAAGCTATTGATTATTGCCACAATTTCAGATCCTGTTATTGGTCTATTCAGAGATTCAACTTCTTCCTGGTTTAGTCTTGGGAGAGTGTATGTGTCGAGGAATTTATCCATTTCTTCTAGATTTTCTAGTTTATTTGCGTAGAGGTGTTTGTAGTATTCTCTGATGGTAGTTTGTATTTCTGTGGGATTGGTGGTGATATCCCCTTTATCATTTTTTATTGTGTCTATTTGATTCTCCTCTCTTTTTTTCTTTATTAGTCTTGCTGGCGGTCTATCAATTTTGTTGATCCTTTCAAAAAACCAGCTCCTGGATTCATTAATTTTTTGAAGGGTTTTTTGTGTCTCTATTTCCTTCAGTTCTCCTCTGATTTTAGTTATTTCTTGCCTTCTGCTAGCTTTTGAATGTGTTTGCTCTTGCTTTTCTAGTTCTTTTAATTGTGATGTTAGGGTGTCAATTTTGGATCTTTCCTGCTTTCTCTTGTGGGCATTTAGTGCTACAAATTTCCCTCTACACACTGCTTTGAATGCGTCCCAGAGATTCTGGTATGTTGTGTCTTTGTTCTTGTTGGTTTCAAAGAAAATCTTTATTTCTGCCTTCATTTCAGTATGTAGCCAGCAGTCATTCAGGAGCAGGTTGTTCAGTTTCCATGTAGTTGAGCGGTTTTGAGTGAGATTCTTAATCCTGAGTTCTAGTTTGTTTGCACTGTGGTCTGAGAGATAGTTTGTTATAATTTCTGTTCTTTTACATTTGCTGAGGAGAGCTTTACTTCCAAGTATGTGGTCAATTTTGGAATAGGTGGGTGTGGTGCTGAAAAAAATGTATATTCTGTTGATTTGGGGTGGAGAGTTCTATAGATGTCTATTAGGTCCGCTTGGTGCAGAGCTGAGTTCTATTCCTGGGTATCCTTGTTGACTTTCTTTCTCGTTGATCTGTCTAATGTTGACAGTAGGGTGTTAAATTCTCCCATTATTAATGTGTGGGAGTATAAGTCTCTTTGTACGTCACTCAGTACTTGCTTTATGAATCTTGGTGCTCCTGTATTGGGTGCATATATATTTAGGATAGTTAGCTCTTCTTGTTGAATTGATCCCTTTACCATTATGTAATGGCCTTCTTTGTCTCTTTTGATCTTTGTTGGTTTAAAGTCTGTTTTATCAGAGACTAGGATTGCAACCCCTGCCTTTTTTTGTTTTCCATTTGCTTGGTAGATCTTCCTCCATCCTTTTATTTTGAGCCTATGTGTGTCTCTGCATGTGAGATGGGTTTCCTGAATACAGCACACTGATGGGTCTTGACCCTTTATCCAATTTGCCAGTCCGTGTCTTTTAATTGGAGCACTTAGTCCATTTACGTTTAAAGTTAATATCGTTATGTGTGAATTTGATCCTGTCATTATGATGTTAGCTGGTTATTTTGCTCGTTAGTTGATGCAGTTTCTTCCTAGTCTGGATGGTCTTTACATTTTGGCATGATTTTGCAGCGGCTGGTACCGGTTGTTCCTTTCCATGTTTAGTGCTTCCTTCAGGAGCTCTTTTAGGGCAGGCCTGGTGGTGACAAAATCTCTCAGCATTTGCTTGTCTGTAAAGGATTTTATTTCTCCTTCGCTTATAAAGCTTAGTTTGGCTGGATATGAAATTCTGGGTTGAAAATTCTTGTCTTTAAGAATGTTGAATATTGGTCCCCACTCTCTTCTGGCTTGTAGGGTTTCTGCCGAGAAATCCACTGTTAGTCTGATGGGCTTCCCTTTGAGGGTAACCCGACCTTTCTCTCTGGCTGCCCTTAACATTTTTTCCTTCATTTCAACTTTGGTGAATCTGACAATTATGTGTCTTGGAGTTGCTCTTCTCGAGGAGTATCTTTGTGGCATTCTCTGTATTTCCTGAATCTGAACGTTGGCCTGCCTTGCTAGATTGGGGAAGTTCTCCTGGATAATATCCTGCAGAGTGTTTTCCAACTTGGTTCCATTCTCCCCATCACTTTCAGGTACCCCAATCAGACGTAGATTTGGTCTTTTCACATAGTCCCATATTTCTTGGAGGCTTTGCTCATTTCTTTTTATTCTTTTCTCTCTAAACTTCCCTTCTCGCTTCATTTCATTCATTTCATCTTCCATCGCTGATACCCTTTCTTCCAGCTGATCGCATTGGCTCCTGAGGCTTCTGCATTCTTCACGTAGTTCTCGAGACTTGGTTTTCAGCTCCATCAGCTCCTTTAAGCACTTCTCTGTATTGATTATTCTGTTTATACATTCTTCTAAATTTTTTTCAAAGTTTTCGACTTCTTTGCCTTTGGTTTGGATGTCCTCCCGTAGCTCAGAGTAATTTGATCGTCTGAAGTCTTCTTCTCTCAGCTCATCAAAGTCATTCTCCAACCAGCTTTTTTCCGTTGCTGGTGAGGAACTGCCTTCCTTTGGAGGAGGAGAGGCGCTCTGCGTTTTAGAGTTTCCAGTTTTTCTGTTCTGTTTTTTCCCCATCTTTGTGGTTTTATCTACTTTTGGTCTTGATGATGGTGATGTACAGATGGGTTTTCGGTGTGGATGTCCTTTCTGTTTGTTAGTTTTCCTTCTAACAGACAGGACCCTCAGCTGCAGGTCTGTTGGAATACCCTGCTGTGTGAGATGTCAGTGTGCCCCTGCTGGGGGGTGCCTCCCAGTTATGCTGCTCGGGGGTCAGGGGTCAGGGACCCACTTGAGGAGGCAGTCTGCCCGTTCTCAGATCTCCAGCTGCGTGCTAGGAGAACCACTGCTCTCTTCAAAGCTGTCAGACAGGGACATTTAAGTCTGCAGAGGTTACTGCTGTCTTTTTGTTTGTCTGTGCCGTGCCCCCAGAGGTGGAGCCTACAGAGGCAGGCAGGCCTCCTTGAGCTGTGGTGGGCTCCACCCAGTTGGAGCTTCCTGGCTGCTTTGTTTACCTAAGCAAGCCTGGGCAATGGCGGGCGCCCCTCCCCCAGCCTCGCTGCCACCTTGCAGTTTGATCTCAGCCTGCTGTGCTAGCAATCAGCGAGACTCCGTGGGCGTAGGACCCTCCGAGCCAGGTGCAGGATATAATCTCGTGGTGCGCCATTTTTCAAGCCCGGAAAAGCGCAGTATTCGGGTGGGAGTGACCCGATTTTCCAGGTGCTGTCCATCACCCCTTTCTTTGACTCGGAAAGGGAACTCTCTGACCCCTCGCACTTCCCAAGTGAGGCAATGCCTCGCCCTGCTTCGGCTCGCGCATGGTGCGTGCACCCACTGACCTGCGCCCACTGTCTGGCACTTCCTAGTGAGATGAACCCGGTACCTCAGATGGAAATGCAGAAATCATCGTCTTCTGCGTCGCTCACGCTGGGAGCTGTAGACCGGAGCTGTTCCTATTCGGCCATCTTGGCTCCTCCCTCCATAATGCTTAAGTTAATATCTCACAAACCTAGCCTCTACACACACACACAAATTTGTGTTTTATTTTTGTTGTTGTTTCATTTGTTTTGCTTTATAATTAAGATGAAATGTTTCTTCCTATCTTCAGCCTCCAAAATTCTAGGCTGCAGGTGCCTTCTTCTGCCAAGTATACTGTTTTAAAAATGGGCACATTAAATATGCATTTGCTATTGAGTTTCTGAGATTGCTTAGGGACTATTTCTTTTCAGAATAAATCACTTTCAACAGCATATTTAATATGAGATGAGAGTATCTCTCTTACTCATCAAAGTCATAATTTTTTAAAAAGTCTGGAATTATCCTGCAGGTATTCTCAGCTATACTCTTCTGTTGTTGGGTATTTTATCAAACTAGGGACATATTTTTCTTGAGATATTATGTTTGAATCCTTGATATTTTGCCCCATTGATTTGACAGTGATTGGGTGACAGATGTACATCAATTGCATTATAATTGCCTTCACCTCTGGCTTCCACTCTTTCCCTTCTTTCTAATCATGGAGAATAAATGTCAAGATAGACAAAGTTGTAGTAAGAAATAACACCAAAATGTGTATTTTCATGTAGTAACAAATAACCCCAAAATATAAATATTTCTAATATTAACTCAATAGTTTACTTCTCATCTATGAGTCCATCACAGACTGGCTGCACTCTACTTCCCATTGTTTTTACCCTGGAAGCCAAGTTGACTAAGCAGCCTTCATCTGGAACATTGCTGCTCTTGTGGCGGAGGCTAAAAAGAGCACAGGGATCCATGACTTGACTCTTAAAGGTATTACTCAGCAGTAACATGTCAATCTCACTCACATTAATTGACCAAAGCAAATTATATGGACACACCTGAAATCAATGGGGAGGGAAGTATAATCTTCTTATAAAAAGGGGTAGTAAGTATCAGCGAGCAGTAAAGTAGCATAGCATAGGCTGGCTGCACCAAAGAATAGTCTATGCTTTCTGGAGGGAGAAAATGAAAAAAGATGTGGGCTTTGGAAACTTTAAGACCTAAATTTGAATCCTGGCTTTACTCCATAGTAACTACTTTATCTCAGACTAACAACTTCCACTTTTTGGTTCTCTGTTTCCTCATCAGAAATATGGTGATACAGCAGTCAGAATGTCTAATATCAAAAAGCCATAGAGCAACAAATGTTGGTGAGGCTGTACAGAAAGGGGAATATTTATATACTGTGGATGAGAATGTAAATTAGTTTAGCCAATATGGAAAGCAATTTGGAGATTTCTTAAATAACTCAAAACAGAACTACCATTCTACCCAGCAATCCCATTATGGAGTATATATCCAAAAGAAAATAAATTATTCTACCAAAAAGATACACGCACTCAAATGTTCATCACAGTATTATTCAGAATAGCTAAGACATGGAATCAACCTAGGTGCCATATATGGTGGATATGTTAAAGAAAATGTGGTACATATACACCACGGAATACTATGCAGCCACTTTAAAAAACAAAATCATGTCCTTTGCAGCAACATGGATGCAGCTGGAGGCCATTATCCTAAGTGAATTAACACAAAAATGGAAAAATAAATATTTCATGTTATCACTTATAAGTGGGAGCTAATCATTGGGTACACGTTGACATAAAGATGCCAGCAATAGACAGCGGAGGCTACTAGAGGTGGGAGGGAGGGAGAAGGGCAAGGATTAAAAAAACTGTTGAGTATTATGCTCAGTACTTGAGTGATAGGCTCTTTCATACGCCAAACTTCAGCATCATGCAATACACCTCAATATATACATGTACCCACTGAATCCAGATGTTGAAAAAATGAAATATGGTGATTATAATAGAGCCTCAAAGGACTATTGCAAAAATCAGAAACAATGTGTATAAAGAACAACATCTAATCCATATAATTGTTCCATCTATTTTAGTATTTTTTCTAGAATTGCTGAACCTGTTTCCTCCATTCTGGTTCTGCATAAAATCCATTGCAACCTGACTTATTGCAACCATTCTATGGGTTTTTTTTTAAAGAAATAGTTACCACTTACCTGGCAAAAGGACACATCTTAGTTCTTAGCCTCCTAAACTTACCATTTAGCATCATTAACCACACCTATGCTGAAATTCTTTCCTCTCTCTCCAAAGCTCTGCTGTTTGTTATTTCTCTTTCTACCTCCCCAACCACTCTCCTTCCCACTCTTCTTCTTTTACCTTCTCAAGAATTTAGCACTGACTTCACCTAGGGTTCCAACCTGAGCTCTCTTCTTTCTACACTTTTCACTTCTGAGACATACAGCATTCGTAAGAGAAAAGGTTTCAGTGTCAGGGAGTCCCAGGTCTTAGTCTGACCTCTGCTACTTATCCCGTGTGGCCTAAGTCACCATTTCTTCATTAGCAAAATCAGGATACTACGACCTACACCTCAAAGACTTGCTGGCAATATTAAATGAGAAAATCTACATGTAGTGTATAGCTTTGTGCTTAGAACATAACAAGCATGCAATACATTTTAGTTACCTCTTCTATCCGTACCTGCCTTTGAAAATCTGCAAATACCATCACTTGATGGAGAAGGTGCTCACAATCATAGCTACTGCCTCTTTTACTTAAGCATTTCAGGAGGAATGCTTTTTGCAGTAAGTATCATCAGCATTTACTGAAAATTCCACTATCTTAAGCCCACTTTAAGTCTGAAAGGTAAAGGTATAATGTAACACAAAGGAACATATCAACAATTAGATTTATCACAGATCCTAATATAGCACAATTTCCACACTATAATGAAGCAGTTAAGAGTCTGGGATTTAGAGATAAACTACTTTGGTTTTATTATTTGTTTGCAACTTCCTAATTTTGTAACAAAGAACAAGTCACTTAATTCCTCTTCATATAATTTTTCACATCTGTAAAATGGAAATAATAATGGTGGTAATCCCATCAAAGTATTCAGAGGATTCAATTTGTGAATACAAGCAAAGTGCATGAAAAGTACTTGGCCCTTGATAAACATTCAGTCAGTATTAGCTATGATAATTATTACTGATAAAATTATATTGCTGAAGAGAGCTTTTGCATTGCCTATTGAAACATAACATATGACTCCTAGGAGCCACACTCATCCCTCAATAAAGACTGCTGTGTGTTCCACCTTTCCTCTTTTTCACTTTCTCTGCCAGAAACTCTAGGATGGCAGTGTATTTGCTCCTGGCCTCTCAGGGGTATCAGAAGGATTCATGAGATAACATCCATAAAGCACTTTGAGCTCTCTGGAAGCAAGGTGTTTGATAAAAAAAAAGTTATTACTATTGTCAGTGATATCTTATATTACTCTAGCCCTTCTCAACCCAGAGGGATCTTCCAGTGGTTTGCAAAACTTGAAGCACAAACAAGAATCATTCAACAATAGCTGAGATGAAGCAGTCACTGCTCATAAAGCCACTGATTCTTAAGAGCCTCTAGCAATCTAAATCCACTGGTTCCATCAGGGGCATAAAATGCACTTGAAATTGGTTCAATGGGAGCTTAGAGATATAAAATACTCAAGGGTCAGTCCATTGAGTAGAGCAAGGAGCTGACATTGGTTCAGACACTCAAAATATGTGTTAAACATAAGTTAAGGAAAACCAGCACATCAGTTTCCAAACTGGAGAAGGACGGGGCAGGGCTCCAGGTGGAATTCCCCTGTGGTTCCCTGGTCCATATTCTGACAATCATATCTGGAAAGTATACTCTCTGTAAAACAAACAGTGCCTTTTAGACAGTCCACACTTTTTTTAAGAAAAAATGCTTGCAAACACTTCCCTGGTACTTCAAAATAAATCCTGCCAAAGCACAGCCTTATTTCAGAAATCAGTCTAAAGTACTTTGAATCCAACTTTGAATCCGAGCTTACCTATCTGGACTGCCCACTTTGCTCTGGCTTGACCTCTTACTGGGTCCACTAATTCTGCCTTGTCCAATACAAAGAATCCTACCAAAGCCATCCTACTAACCAAACCTTGGCCAATCACTCCAGCCAGTGACATAATTCTGAAATGTGGTTCTCTGTCATGCAACTCTTGCACAGCCCATTGATATTCAATCAATGTAAGCCAAACTTCAGACCAAGTGGCAAACTGCTGGTTTGTGCTGTCCCCTTTCACCTGTGACCTGCAGGTAAGGCATCTACTATAAAACACCGTACAGGAATATCTTACATCACATAACTTAAAGCAGTCCATTAATATCAAACGAGAGTAAGTCAAATGTTTGCAGCCAAATGTATCCTATCCTATCAATCTAAAGAATCATTTCAAGAAAATCAGTCAACTTTTAACTTTATGTCCTGATTCTATCTGCCTCATTAAACCTGCCTTCTCATATCTGTGCTACAAAGAATTTTTGGAAATACCCTAAAAATGTTGTGGGAGAAACACAATGAACTAGTACTTCTACAACACTTTTTAAAATAATCTGTTAAAGTAGAGTAATTTTAAAGTTTGGAAATAAAATATAATGAAGTGAAAAAGCAACAGATGGGGTTAGTGTAGATTACATTTAGACACAACATAATATTTGAGTAAAAATTATTCAGATATTTGTATTATTTACCACACCACAAATAAGTCCATTGAGATGTGAGATTTCAAAAAAAAAAAAAAGCATTAAAAATACTGGAATAAAATACTAGAGGATTACTTTATGATCTCAAGATAGATATGGACAATCTTAGCGTGACATTAAGCCTAGAGACTATATAGAAAACTACTTAGATTATATAAAAATATTTAAATGTTTCTGCATAAAATAATAAAACCATAGGCCATTAAAATGTGAAAGCAAAATAAAAAAATGTGGGAAGCTTTTTGCAATTTATATCAAAGACAAACGTTAGGCATCATTAGAGGCATTGCATTAAACCATTTCTACAAGATAAGAAAAATTATAAAAATCAAATCTATAAAACCATAGATTTGTAGAAGATGGAATACAACAGAAATATAAGATCTTTAACCTCATTGAAAAATAAAGTCTATGTAAGTTAAAACAACAATGAGGGACCATTTGGAAAGGGGAAAAGGCATTCATATAAAGAGTTGGTAAGAACACAACTTGATACAATATTTTTCAAGATAATTTCCCAATATCAAAATTTACAGGGGTATATTATTTGCAGTAGCAACTTCAATTTCAGTAATCTATTTCAAACATATGCTTATATACATATATAAGAATTGAGGAAAATATTCTTATTGAAGCAATATTTGAAATAGAGTAAAATGGGATACATGTGTTTATAAAATAATTTTAAAAGATATAAACCAAAATGTTGCCTGTTGTTACCTTTGGGGCATGGGATAGCAGCACTTAGTCACTTTCGGCTTTTTAAACTTCTTTTGGTTCCAAATTTTTATTAGAAGCATGCACAGTCTTCTGAAAATCAATAAAAAACACATAAATAAAATCAAAGAAAAATAAATGGGGGTGATAGAACACAATGACATGATACGTGGACATGACAATATTTGAAATAATATGTTAGATATCTAAAAATAATTACTTTGAAAATCTCTATTGAAATCCATTATCAGTAGTTAACTATGAAGGTGAGATTATGGTGAGGTTTTATCATACTAGTTTAGATTTTTTAAAGTATATTGTTTGATTATTTTATAGGATCTCAACATTAGGAAATACAATACAGTGTTACCATTAATATTGTTCCAGACCCAATCTCAGCACTGTGTTGGCCATGATGACTGAAAAGTTGTGGGTGAACCAGGAGCAGCTCCTAACCTTGCTATACCCAAATCTCCTTGTTAAGATCACAGTGATGTCAGCCTCTTACTGAATTGATGAGACTTAAGGGTGAATTGGAAACAGTGCCTTGGCTTATTCCTAAAGCACATAATATAAAAATATTAAATAACTTGCAACTGAACAGAAGGCGTAGTAGAGCTATCCAATCTTCCCAGTCCATTTGAAGTTCCCAATTCTTCAGGATTTAATGTTCACTCATGCAAGTAATTGTGACTTATTTTAATGCATCATTGAGTTTTATTCAGTTGCCAAGGCTTAGATGAGTTATCTCTATCTTTGGGAAGCTTCTCCAGTTTTCCCCATCAACCTCACCCCAAGCCAGGTTAGATGCTCCTCATATATACATTTCAAACTCTGTATAGACCTTTCCTATTCATGGATTCAGTTTGTTAGGTAGACTTTCTTTCCTTCAACACGTTTTCACTGAGCACTGCAATTTAGGCTCTTGAGAAACAGCAGAGGGTAAAATGAGAGGATCCTGTCCTTTGAAAGCTTGCAACCCAGTGGGGAGACTAGCATTAATTTTTAAAATTGTACATTTTGGCTGGGCACAGTGGCTCACACCTGTAACCCCGGTGCATTTGGAGGCCAGGGTGGGGGGATTTCTTGAGGCAAGGAGTTGGAGACCAACCTGGGCAACATAGCAAGACCCTGGTCTCTACTAAAAATAAAAAATTAGCTGAGCATGGCGGCATGCACCTGTAGTTCCAGGTCCTCAGGGGGCTGAGGCAGGAGGACTGCGTGAGCCCAAGAGATCAAACCTGCCCTGAGCTATGGTCACGCCACTGAACTCCAGCCTAGGTGACATAGTAAAACCCTGTCCCAGAAACAAAAAATGAAAATTAAAACAAAATGGTGTGTTTCTAAATGGCGATTGTTATTATGCAGCAAAACTACAGAGTGCAAGAATTTTTTTTTTTTTTTTTTAGAACATGGTGTTCATTGCAGCACAAAGAACTAGCTAGTTTTTAACATATTGTAAATCTCTCTCCCATTAAATTTTAAGCTTCTAGAAGACAGAAAATATGTCTTTGGGCTTTTTTTTTTTTTTTTTTTTTTAGCATTGTGGCATCCTTGATCCACAGTAAACGCTCAGTTTTTGTCTGTTTAACTGAACTGAACTGATCATAATTTTTTCTATATGTTTTATGTTGGCCTAATAATCCAATAAGTGATTGATGCACAAGGTAATCACTCTTTCAGCCATGTAACCCAGTTACCCATTTATAGTAAGGATCACTGATGCTTCAAATCAAGCCCCTCTTTCTTGTTCCCATTAGGTTATTATTTCAATATTAAGTTGTCAATGGCTACTATATTCTAAGTGGACAGTGTGGGGAAAGAAGAGGAGAAACAATAGGAGAAAGAAAAGATATATTTGTAGTAGAAAGTAAAAAGTCTAGTTGACTTTGGGGAGAGGCTAGGATCCAAACCATCACAACTTCTATGGTTTCTCTTTTTTTTTTTTTTTGAGACGGAGTCTCGCTCTGTCGCCCAGGCCGAACTGCGGACTGCAGTGGCGCAATCTCGGCTCACTGCAAGCTCCGCTTCCCGGGTTCACGCCATTCTCCTGCCTCAGCCTCCCCAGTAGCTGGGACTACAGGCGCCCGCCACCGCGCCCGGCTAATTTTTTGTATTTTTAGTAGAGACGGGGTTTCACCTTGTTAGCCAGGATGGTCTCGATCTCCTGACCTCATGATCCACCCGCCTCGGCCTCCCAAAGTGCTGGGATTACAGGCGTGAGCCACCGCGCCCGGCCGGTTTCTCAAATAAATGTTGTCAATTAAAACAGGAAGTATGCTTTTATTAATGGCAAATCACTATGAAAATGTTAACTACACAATTCCCCATATTGAGAAATGTCTCAGCTCAATCATAAAATTTCTCTGTAAGTGCTAAATGATAATATGGACAGACCATCTCCCCTCGGGTGGGAGGGGTTGAAAACAGAGTGAGTCCTAAGAAATAGACGCATGAGTTGTTCTACAAAAGATTTTTTACTTATTTCTATCGCCAGATCCATGTTCTTTGGTTCAGATATGTGGGGATTCTTTCAGGAAATGGGTAATTCTGACTCTTACAGAAGATAGAGGTGATTAGAGTAATAGTAGCCAACAGATCACTGAAAAGCCTCAGGAGATTCATAACTAAGATTCCACATGGAATAGTGCAGTGATACATACACAAGGTGAGAAGAAAAAATAGTAGACACCTACATCCCGATTTGGCTCCTCTTCCTCTTCCTCAGTGTTTATAAAGCATCTATTGTGAACAAAATTATTCTGCTTAATACTCAAATGGATTCAGGAACACTGAAAGCCAGAGCTCTGTCCTCTTGAAGTAAATGGAATAGAGTACCAGTCCATCCAGGTCCAGCTCTTTCAAGCTGGGGTAGAATAACACACAGAGAGGCAGGGAACATTGTGAGGAGATTTGGAGTCCTGGAGACCTAAGCACAAATCATGACGGCTCCAATCACTGTTTGTGCAGCTTTCAGAGAGTTGCTTAATTTCGCAAGTTGTGTTTTGTCATTTCTAACACAGGGATGATAGTATCTATTTTCCACTTAGGAATTAGATAATTTAACATATGGGAAGTGCCTGGTGCAGTGACTGACACAAAGTAGGAACTCCCCCAAAATTAACAATAATAAAAATACATATTCCTTTATCCCACTGGTTTCCAACCAGCAGCAATTTTTCCCCCCGGGGACGCCAAGCAACACTTGGAGACATATTTGGTTGTCACAATTGGAAGAGTACTTACCAGTGACATCTGGAGAATAGAGGCCAGGAATGCTGCTAAACATCCTACAGTGCACAGGCAGGCCCCCAACAATAAAGAATTATCTAGCCCCAAATGTCAAAAATGCCAAGGTTGAAACACCTGCTTTATTCTCTAGTTTCTGAAATCTAATATCTCATGGTGTAAGACAGTCCAGAAGAACTTAAAGAGCATATTCTGGTAGCACATGCAGATGTACAGGTACAATATAAGATAAAAAGTAGACATAATCAAATATTTGATGGCCATAGGAGTACACATGGTCCATATTGTGGGTCTTGTGAGCTTTCAACATGATGCATTATTTAACACACCCAATAATGTCAAATACTGTAGAGTACTGTCTTCTTTTCACAGTTGAAAAAAACTACATTCAAAGAAGTTTATACCTTACTCATGTCATGCATGTACTAAAGGATGGGGCAGAATTTCAACACATATCCTTTTGACAGTAAATCTCATTGTTTTTCCTCTATTCCATGCTGCCAATATAATTGGCAGAGGGAGTGGGTTCATAACTTTTACTGCAGTTGATTATTAGATGATAGTCGTAGGAAAAAAAGAAAGAGACAATTGACCATAGTGTCCCTTAATGCCTCTGTGGAGACCAGTTTGCTTCCTTCCCTTCCTTCTCAACTACCCTGAAGTCTCTTATTTTTCTTCAACCACCTCAAAACTCCATTTGCATGCCCCATGTGTACCATTCAAATCACATTACTCCTTTGCTGAAGCACCTGCAAGCCCTTTTCCTTCCTGGCAATATGAGCTACATCTAAAGTGTCTACGTTCTTCACTGTTGCAATGATTATATCCCTTGCCTCCCTAAGGCTCCAGTCTCTCTCCTTGCGGTCTTTAAAATCCAATTTAACTGGGTTAAATTGCCTTTATACTCCTCCGCTTCTCCATACCTACAGTTCCCTCTAATTCTCTCTCTCTCGCTCTGTCCTTTCTCTCATTTCTAGTACTCACTAACTGAAGTCAATAGATTAGCCTTAATTTATTTTGGGAATAGCACAGTCATAGAAGTTAACATTTATAGAATATATTCATTTTAGCTATCCTGTTACAACAGGGAGGTTAACAAAATTGATATCTAATTAAAACTAACAAGCATAGTCTTATTAAAACCAAAACAATAAAGAATGCAGTGAAAATTGCATTACCCATCCTGTGCACCCTCCTGTAGGAACTACTAGTTACTAAGGCTGTTGTTCAATGCTCTCACATGAGGATCCTGACTATGTGTTGACACCCTGGCTAGTTCTCTGGTAGGTTTTTTTTTTTTTTTCTTTGAGATGGAGTCTTGCTCTGTCGCCAGGCTGGAATGCAGTGGTGCAATCTCAGCTCATTGCAACCTCTGCCTCCTGGGTTCAAGTGATTCTCCTTCCTCAGCCTCCCAAGAAGCTGGGACTACAGGTGCATGTCACCACACCCAGCTAATTTTTGTATTTTTAGTAGAGACAGGGTTTCACCATGTTGGCCAGGATGGTCTGGATCTCTTGACCTAGTGATCCACATGCCTCGGCCTCCCAAAGTGCTGGGATTACAGGCGTGCGCCACCACGCCCAGGTCTCTGGTAGGTTTTAAGGAACAGGAAAGATACCTAGCCCTCCACTGAATGGTTAAAACTGGTGGCACTCCTATAATGTGCTAAGAGTATTTAGGATTAAAACAAGAACACTGGATATGTTTTCAGTACCGATAAACAATGTAAAAACCTCTATAAAAGATGTAGCATTGTAGAACAAGAGGGAAAGAAATACAGGAACCAAGCAGCATGTGTAGGACTAACTTTAAGAAGTAGGTAAGAATATGCCAGGCGCAGTGGCTCACGCCTGTAATCCCAGCACTTTGGGAGGCTGAGGCAGGCGGATCATGAGGTCAGGAGATAGAGAACATCCTGGCTAATATGGTGAAACCCTGTCTCTACTAAAAATACAAAAAAATTAGCCGGGCATGGTGGCGGGCACCTGTAGTCCCAGCTACTTGGGAGGCTGAGGCAGGAGAATGGCATGAACCTGGGAGGTAGAGCTTGCAGGGAGCCAAGATCGCACCACTGTACTCCAGCCTGGGTGACAGAGCAAGACTCCATCTCAAAAAAAAAAAAGTAGGTAAGAACAATCAGAACTTCTGCTGTGTGCAGGACAGAGTAGCCCAGGCCTCCATCTCACCGTCCAAGTATTGAATGGGTATCTTGACTTGTGTTAAAAGCATAAAGCCAGAGCTGAGAAACAGACCCACTCTACCCGCAAGAGAGAATCAGAAGAGGTCCATCTCTTCACTCCACCCCCAGGAGGGCATGTTGCTAAAGCCATTGCTAGTGAAAAAAAACTAACAGAAATTATGATATCCTGGATTTTCAAAAAGACATGATTTATTGATCAGAAGAGCAGGAGGGATATGTTCCAGATTGAAAGCTGAATTTCAAAGATCCAAATTTTGTTTCCAGGTATAGCAAACGCCCAGTTACCCAAATGGTGATGAAAGGAACACCCACATTAATTATACAAACTTCAGAGAAGTTTCACTGGCTTGCTTCATTTGATTCCTATCAAAATCCAGTAAGATCAGAGGTTCAAATTATCATATTCGCATTTCAGAGAATGTAGAAACTAGGCCCTGAGATGCACAGTGACAGCAGGCAACATGCTAAGGCCATGGGTAGAACTTTAACCCAATCTACTATTCTAACAAATCATTTTCATCCTCTTAGACCTCCCAGATGTTGAAAGTGCAGATTCTGGGGCCACATTGCCTGGGCTCAAATCTAAGCACACCCACTTTCCAGGTATAAGATCTCAAGAAAATCACTTATTTATTAATGTGTGTCTTAGTTTATTCATTTGTAAAGAAGGCTTAATAATAGTACTCACCTCACAGAATTGTGGTGAGGATTAAAATCGTTAATAGAGTCACCCATTTCTATGCACAAATGCAGAACCCAGAGATACAGAGGACCAGCTGTAGTATTATTTCATACAAGGGACTTGAGCATCTGCAAACTTCAGTAACCTCAGTGGACACCTGGAACCAATTCTTCATACATACTGAGGGACAACTATACATGCAAAATCCTTTAAAGTGTTTCAAAGATATTCTTCATGAGCACAGAACAAGCCTTAAATTTGCCTTTTTTTTGAGACGGAGTCTTGCTCTGTTGCCCAGGCTGCAGTGCAGTTGTGCAATCTTGGCTCACTGCAAGTTCCGCCTTCCAGGTTCACACCATTCTCCTGCCTCAGCCTCCCAAGTAGCTGGGACTACAGGCACCTACAACCATGCCTGGCTAATTTTTTGTACTTTTAGTAGAGACGGGGTTTCACGATGTTAGCCAGGATAGTCTAGATCTCCTGACCTTGTGATCCACCTGCCTCAGCCTCCCAAAGTGCTGGGATTACAGGTATGAGCCACCGCGCTTGGCCTAAATTTGACTTTTTAAAAAAACTTTACTGTGTAATGCAATTTAGCATACTTATAGAGACTTTATTGGACAACAGGTAAGTAAAATTATCCTTATTTTACATATGAGAAAACTGAATATGCCAGCTACTATTTTTGCATTGAACACCCAGAAATGTGGTGATGTAAAGCAACCATTTTATTAAGTTCACAGATTGTTAGTATTGGAATTTTGGATAGGGTATAGAAAGAAAATCTTGTCTGTGCTCCACATTTTCTAGAGCCTCATTTGGGAAGACTCAAAGGCAAGGAATGACTCAGAGGGAAGAATCATCTGGAGGCATGTTCATCAGCATGGCTAGAGGGTGATGTTGGCTGTCAGCTAGGACCTGAGCAGGTCTGTAGGCTGGATTGCCTCCATGTGCCCCCTCTGTGTGACCTGGCTTCCTCCACAGCAGGGCAGCCTCAGGAGAGTGGGGCTTCTCACATGCAGTCCAGAGTTTCAGGGATCCATGTAGAAGTTGCATCATTTTTTGTGATCTATCCTTGAAAGTTGCACAGCATCATTTTATTACCAAAATGCCAGAGGTTTGGTCTAAGTCCTGCTGTTCACTCCACAGAAAGCCAATCACTGAGACAACAAGTATTGCCAGGGAAGAAGGCTTTAATCAGGTGCTGCTGTTGAGGATATGGGAGATCAGTCTCAAATTCACTTCCCTAACTGACTACAATTAGGGGTTTCTAAAGCAGGGAAGAAATGTAACCATGTGCGGGGAAACAGGAATTAGGGAGAGGTAGGGAAGAGGAGTTCACCAACAGAAAGCTGGTGCTTATTTAAGCAGTCATGATGGGTGAGGACTCTGGCATCCCATTGTCTAGATGCCATGATCTGGTAAGTTTCACTTCCTTGATACTATCTGGGAAGACTGATGGTTGGTTTTCTGAGAAAGGAAAAAGATAAACTGTGTAACTTTCTCAAGTTTCAAGACTGAGAGAGTCAATTTCTATGTTTATTCAAAAAAACCATAAACATCAGTTTTGTGGGATAACTGGGCTGGTTTCAACTTCAGCCACATTCTGTGGGTTGCAGCAAGTCACAAGACCACCTACCTATAAGAAGAGGTAAAATAGACATCACCTCTTGATGGAGGAGTCAAGGTTTTAGAAAAGCACTAGAGATTACAGGTGTTGTTGCAACTATAATTGAAAAATATAAGATTCCATATGGTGAAAGATAGGGTTTGCCAAAAATTTTACAAAAAAATAAGTGAATACACCAGAATAAGAATGCAAAGCTTTGGATTTTTAAAGTTCTGTCCTTCCTTGACCTCCCAGACCTTTTTCTCATGTGTAAAGATGTCAATTAATCTTGCACATTCATGGGCAGGTACATCTGCAGGTTTGGCCCTGCAGGGATGCAACTGAGGGCAGGGAGGTTGCACTGGAAATGCATCCAAATAAATTCTAGAAACTTGCCATGGGAATTTGCTTTGTGTTAGTCTTCCTTCCCCACGTGTCCCTCTCCTCTTTTAATCAAGTCTCAGGGAGGAAAAATACTGATCAAAATTGATCAGATTCCAGGGCATTGATTTGGCTGGCTCCTTTTACAGGTGGATGAAGAACTATGTAAAGCTCCAACTTAGACCTACAGCTCACAAGGCTGCCTTCACACTTGTGAAGCCTCCATGATCTCTCTAGCTCATCTCCCCACTTTTGTTCTCATATCCCACAGCCTTTTCCCAACATACCAACCACAATGATCTTTTTGAAGCCTAGGACAGACAGATGATGTCTTCACTCCTCTACCTTCTGATTCCTATTTCACTTAGACTAAAAGCTAAAGTCTTTACAGTGCCTGACATGATCTAAACACCTTTTTTCTTCATCTTCTGTAAGTCTTCCTCTAGCTCATGCTACTCAATCAATACTGATTTCTTTATTAAACATATGATGCAAGAGCTATCATCAGAGCCCTTGTATTTGCTCTTCTCTCTGCCAGACTCTTTCCCTATATACCCACAAAACCAGCACTTCCTTATGGACTTTGGTCACAAGTCAGCTTCTCAGTGAGGACTTTCCTGAGTACATCATTAAAATTTATACCCTCTTTCTGCAGTTTTCATCCCTGCTTCCTGCTTCTTTTATCTCCACAGCATTTGCCCCCATCCAACCAATTTTATATTTAAATGATCTATTTGTTTTATTGTGTTTCTTCTGCCATCCCCATGCAGACACTAGATTATAAGCTTCTGAGAACAAGATTTATTTTGTCTATTTTATTTACTGACAAATCTCCAGAATGTAGAGCAATGCCTGACACATAACAGGTGCTCAATGAGTATTTGTGGAATAAATGAATGAATAGATGAGTGTGGAAATACTAACTGCATGTTTAGATATAGGTTATGTGATAGGTAATTGATTACACAGAAGAATGCTTTCATCTGAAGCTACTTAAGACTAGTTAACCAAGGAAAAGGGGATGTTTCCCCATGACTCAGCCCACTCTATTGCAGTACTGGTTTGAAGGCCCAAGTACATCTGTTAAAATTGTTCATTGTTTCTCATTTGCCATTGTTTTAAAGGATATATGCAGCATTCTTGGAAAACTCTGAGATATACAGGCATAGATTTAGTATGAGCAGGAACTAGAAGTTCCTGCTTTTCCTATGTCATTACTTGTAATAATTCTCATGTCCTACTGTGGTAGGCAGTATAATCGCCCCCAAAGATATCCACATCTGAATACCTGAAACCTATAAATATGTTATGATATATGGCAAGAGGAAATTAAGGTTGCTGATGGAATGAAGATTACTGATCAACTTAAAATGGGAGAGACTATCCTGGAGTATTTAGGCAAGCTCAAGAAGAGGAATGGGGAGAGTGACAGTCAGAAAAGTGCATATGACAAGGAAAGTAGAGCTCAGGGTGATGAAATTGATGGCTTTGAAGAAAGAAAGAAGCCAGGAGCCAAGGACTGCAAGTAACCTCTGCAGGCCACAAAAGACAAGTAAACAGATTCTTCACTACAGTCTTCATAAAAAAAACAGTCATGTCTACACTTTGATTTTAGCCCAGTAAAACTCACATAGAATTTCTGACCACTAGAATTTTCAGATAACAAATTTTTGTTGTTTTAAGCCACCGTGTTGGTAGTAATTTGTATATTCCTAACACCTTCATCATTACATTACCATGCAAATGCAAAAGAAAATTCAGCCTGAAAGGGTGCAATCCTGCTACAGCATTTGGTAAAGGGCAGTCTCTCTTGTTTTGAGTCTCTTCTTTCATCAAGTACATAAGAGCAAATGTTATCACCAGTCATAAAGTTCTGGTGATAAACTTAATTTTCTGTATTCCAAAATGCCATCCAAATAACAACGCTAGCTAAAGCTTTTTTGTTTTCGTTGGAGACATATTCTGAAGATGTGGGTAGGCTAGATCAGTAAAAATATCAGTGTTTCATTCTTTTTAGCAACTAACAAAACAGGCTTTCCATTTTCGCACCAAAAAAAATAAGATTAAAATGCATCTTCCTTGAATTACGATGGGTGAATTTTTAAATTTAGCCTAATTCAAGTAAATTCCTACCTATTGCTTCTAATTATACCATTTTCCTCTTTGTGTGGAGACTTGAGATCAAGAAAGAAAGAGCACTAGTAGTTGATTTTTTAAAAAAGAAATGTGTTTTCTCAATTCAAAATAAGAAAGGCTTTCAACAGCAGGTCTGTAGATTTTTTGAAAATCCTAATTAGACTGAATTAAATGACTAAAATGCTACTAATTACTTTTCAATTTCAAGAGAGATGTTTACAAAGCACAGTATAATGAGTAATACAGCACTTCAAATGATTACTAATGTTGCCATTTTGTCTGACTTAATCTCAATTAGTATAAATCACATTGTCATCATGGTTAACTGCCATTTCTTTCAAGCAAAATGGTAATTTCTCTTTACAATCTTACAATTACTGTTTGTTTTCTTCAAGATATTCCATTTGAAAGGCCTAATAAAGAGAATATTTATAGACCCTGTGTTTTCTGCAGTTTAGACAAATGCATTTGTTGTTATTCTATTTGGAGGGTTGTGGTAATTCCTTACTTTCTAATAAAATGAAATTTTAACTTTTAACTATATTGTCATGCCAAATGTAAACACATAGATAGCTATAGTTCCATAGGAGAATCTTTATTCAAATGCCAAGTAGACTTCATTAATAAGATCTAAGAGGCAACATATATGTTTCACCTCTCTGAGGAAATTCATCATTAGAAAAGAGAAGAAAATGCCTTTCAGTATTGAGAGTATTGGATTGTTCTAGGTTTGGATTGGTTTGAGTTTGGGGTTTTTTTTGTTTTTTTTTACTTTTTCTCCAGCTTCTTTCCATTGTTCTACTCATGTGGATGTAAAATCTCTCCATTAATCAATTATCTAATTGACCATAGGCCATCAACTGATCATTTCTCTGTGTCACTGGATAATCTTAGGGAATTTCCTTCAAAGACCCAAAGTTATCAAATGAGATTTTTTTAAATTACACTATTGTTCTAAGAGCTCTTCTAGATTTAATCTTACCTTTATTTAAAAAAAGTTTAGGAGTTGAATATTAACAATTTAGATTTTTTCTCAAACAAATATTTTTCTTAAATCTTTGGTGCTATTTTGTTTATTTTTTGTTGCATGATAAACTATCCCAAAATTTAGAGGCTTAGAAAAACAAAACATTATTTTCACTCATGATTTTTTGGGTAGGAGTTTTGGAAAGAGCTTAGCTGAGTAGTTTGTCTTTAAGCCATGTGGCACCAGTGAAGGCAACTGGAAATGGAGGGTTTACTTCCATGAAGGCCTCTTCATGAACACGTCTGGCAACTCAGTGCTATTCAACTTGTACTTCCAAATCCACATGGCGACTTATCCTTCAGAGCTCATTAGTGTAGTTTGAGCTTCTTGAAATATGGAGCCCTCAGTATAGATGAAATTTCATAGAAGCCCCAGTAGAAGATATTCTGCAAGATTGGTGGAGGCTGCAAGATTTCTCATGATCTAGGCTCAGAAGTTCCAGAATGCCCTTTGGTCAAACGGTCAAACAAGGGTTTTATTTTATTTTATTTTATTTTTTGAGATGGAGTCTCGCTCCGTCACCCAGGCTGGAGTGCAGTGGTGCTATCTAGACTCACTGCAAGCTCCGCCTCCCAGGTTCACGTCATTCTCCTGCCTCGGCCTCCCAAGTAGCTGGGACTACAGGGGCCTGCCACCACGCCTGGCTAATTTTTTGTATTTTTAGTGGAGACAGGGTTTCACCATGCTAGCCAGGATGGTCTCCATCTTCTGACCTCGTGATCTGCCTGCCTCGGCCTCCCCAAGTGCTGGGATTACAGGCGTGAGCCACTGCACCAACTGGCTGGTCAAAGAAGTTTTTAAGGCCAGCCCTGATTCAAGGAGAGGGAAATAATACTCTCTCTCAATGGGAGAAATAGCTAATAATTAGTATTGATCTTTAATCTACCACAGTGTCTACAACTTATACACAAGCTAAAAATAAAATAAAATATTTTAAAATGAAAATAGGTGTTCATGAGGAATCTTTAAAAATCCTTCCTTCATACAATTTCCTGTTATTTTTGATGACAAAAGCTAGGATGTTTGAAATTTGACATGATTTACATAATGAAATTATCATTTTGGGTAAGTAAGTTATGTTTATTAGCTCTAGATTTCTGTTGATTTGGGCCTCTTCAATATCCATTTCTGTTTCTCCAGTTAACAGCAAACCAATTTTCTTGTAAGAATGTACCATTTTTTATTTGCATGAAGTATTCTGGAACTGTCAACCAAGGACTCCTCTGCTTTCTTTGGCTAACAAGTGGACATTTTACGTATCTAGGGCAATAAAATCCTTTCCCTTTAGAATTTAAATCATGAGAAGAGTGACACAAAGATGAAAATTATTTGGTACTCATATTTCCTGATGTTGGTACCCTGCAACTTCTGACACTTAAATCTTCGACACTTTTATTCTAAGCTTTCCTAAACGTGGTCATTTAGAGCTTCTCCTTTGATTCTGTGAGTTGCCTTTTAGTCTTCCAATTATCTACTTTTACTTAAAATAGCACTAGTTTTCTTTTTCTTCAAAATAAAAACAAACACATAGAGCCATAACAGAGGTAAAAATTTGTGTAATGAGTGGAGCTGCCCAGAAACAGAATTAATCAGAAAACACAAGAATACAGGGCCAGGCGTGGTGGCTCATGCCTGTAATCCCAGCACTTTGGGAGGCTGAGGCGGGTGGATCACGAGGTCAGAAGATCAAGACCATCCTGGCGAAAATGGTGAAACCCCATCTCTACTAAAAATACAAAAAATTAGCCAGGCGTGGTGGCGGGTGCCTGTAGTCCCAGCTACTTGGGAGGCTGAGGTAGGAGAATGGCGTGAATCTGGGAGGCGAAGCTTGCAGTGAGCTGAGATGGCACCAGTGCACTCCAGCCTGGGCAACAGAGTGAGACTTTGTCTCAAAAAAAAAAAAAACAAAAAAGAATACAACAACCAGGAATTATTAAGCATTAATGATATAGCTCCAAAATATATCAATCAAAAACTGATAGAAATTCAAGAAGAAAATAACAAATCAACAGTCATGGTTGTTGCCAGACAACTCTCAATTCTCAATATGCAAAGGGAAAAGAGCAAGTCAGTAATAAGCCAATTAAATTAATGGCTAATTTTTAATATTTACTCTTATCTATCTTTAGCCTTTCAAGTTACCAAAGCATTTTTACATGTGCATGTTCATATGATTTTTCTCCTTACTTCTCTGAAGTAAACTAGTAGAATGTAATTAGAAGAAGAGTTCCAACTGCTTAGAACTCAAATCTTCAGGTTTCAAATATGTTCTTTTTGCTATCATCAGAATGTATCCCCCCCAAATTCACGTTCTGAAACTTTTTTTTCTATTTTTGAGACACAGTCTCTCTGTCACCCAGGCTGTGGTGCAGTGGCACAATCTCAGCTCACTGCAACCTCCGCCTCTGGGGTGCAAGTGATTCTCCTGCCTCAACCGCAACCTCCCAAGTCGCTGGGATTACAGACATGTGCCACCACGCCTAGCTAATTTTTGTATTTTTAGTAGAGATAGGGTTTCTCCATGTTGACCAGGCTGGTCTCGAACTCCTGACCTCAGGTGATCTGCCTGCCTCGGCCTCCCCAAGTGCTGGGATTACAGGTGTGAGCCACTGCGCCAGGTAACATATTGGAAACTAGCTCCAATGCAACAATGTTGAGAGTTGTGACTTCATGAAAGGTGTTTAGGTCATGAGAGCTCCGTCTTCATGAAGGGATTAATAAGCTATAAAAAGAGCTCGCAGGAGTGAGTTCACTCTCTCTTGTGTGTCTGCCTTCTGCCACATGAGAATGCAGTGAGAAGGTCCTCATCATATTCTAGTGCCTTGATATTTGACTTCTAAGCCTCAAGAATTGTGAGAGAATAAATTTATTTCTTTATAAATTACCCAGACTGTGATATTCTATTACAGCAGCACAAAACAGACTAAGACACTTTTCACTGTACTCCTAGTTATATAATTTTCTTGCTCATACCAGCAAGCTTTCTAGTCCTTGCTCATGACATGAGATTTCAAAACAGTAGACAAATGATTCTAAATGATTAACTAGATAAACACACAGAGATATCAATTTAAATAATGAATATAAGGTGTTTGGCCTTGTATCTGGGCTGCAGTGAGTGTTAAATACATAGGAGTTATTATTAATACTAAATAGAATGTGATACTTGCCATTATTTCTAGGCTGAAATTATTTCTAAGTTGATTTTTTTTCTTTATGTCATTTCCCAAGATAGTTATTTGTATTATTCAAATCATTTGCTGGTCTCAACATGTTCTTCAGGATGAGATCTCAACTTTATGACCTTTCTATATGGAAGGAAGACTTGACATTCCCAATCATTAAATGGTAAGAGAGTTGGAGCTAGGGTCAAAACAGAGAGGGCAAACCTTCAATAGCAGGGCAGTCACTATGTCTTTGAACTTCTCTTTTAAATGCTATAAAACTGCCTTTCTGTCTCAATTCTGTTGAACTGGAATTAAAAAATATTCCCCCACAGCATCTGAATTTTATTAGAGTATATGACTTTCTTTTGCAGACACTACTAGTAGGTATTTTGCAAAGTCTTGTCTTTGAGGCTGATTCTAGAACTAGGTTGTAGCAAGAGTTGGAGTCCCATAAAACCAGTGATATTTACTCCTTAATGCAGTCCATCTTTCCAAGGTGTGCTTTCTCTGAAGACTGATCACAGCTTTTATTGTGTGAGCTTGTAAAATGCAAAATGATTAAAGGTACATCTATTTTTTGAATCTCATCTTTGTCATTCCTTTAGTCAACAACAGCAGAGTCCTGGCCGTTTCACAGATGCTTACATGAAAGGTCAAGTTTAGCCATCAGCACTGAAAAAAAAAAAAATCTTAAAGGGCAAGATGGCTGCATTGTAATGACTTTGAAGAGCACCTTGGTGCTGATTCTAACTGAAGGATTTGTGATCTTTCAGAAAGTTCCTCATTTTGCTTCTTTTCCCCAGCATGAGTCTCGCTAAACATATCCATTTCCATATCATTATAAAGCATAAAAAGGAAATTTCCTCTCAAGAGCCACAGCTTGGAGTCACTCTTTTAAAATCTTTTTCCATTATTTTTGTTGGCCCCATTACCTGTTTCATTGACATTCCAGAACACTTCTTAATTTTGACTTCCACTTTGATTCACTCTCACTGCTTCCTGCCTGCCAATATCTTTACCCTTCCTCTCTGACATTCACTTCCACTCATTTTCTCTCTGTCCCATATCAAGCTTCTCAATTGCACACTTCATTTAGGAATTTTAATGTGAAAGGAAAAAAAAAAGCTCAACAAAACGGTTGTGGGTGGAGAGTGATGGAAGTGAAGCTGTGAAACGTGTGCTCTACATAGCTTATACCATACTTCAGGCAGCAAGGTAATAGTTTCACTGAACAAGCCGCCTTTTTCCAGATGACTTCAAGAAAGCAAAGAGTAAATATGATGCCCCAGAGTGTGGATTTGTAGATATAAGAGGTTCCATCTTTCCCCTGAGAAGAAGGCAGACCTATAAAGAACACACACCTCTCCCAGTGTCCTCAGGAACTAGCTGAAGTGAAATGGTTGTTACTCAAGTTTCAGAGCAAGCTTGGGCTGTGTCATGGCCATAGCATAGTGGAAACTGGGTTGAGGCAAAGAAGCTAAGCTCATTACCAATTAAGGAAATTGGAGTAGTAATTGTGAAGGAGGAGAAATTGAGGAAATTGGAGGAGTAATTATGAAGCCACAAAAATAATGCAAAACCAGAAGTTAGAAGCTAGGGAATCAAGTATGTGAGACAGGTATTAAGGAAAAGGAGGAATTTATCAATTTCTTCTAGATTTTCTAGTTTATTTGCGTAGAGGTGTTTGTAGTATTCTCTGATGGTAGTTTGTATTTCTGTGGGATCGGTGGTGATATCCCCTTTATCATTTTTTATTGCGTCTATTTGATTCTTCTCTCTTTTTTTCTTTATTAGTCTTGCTAGCAGTCTATCAATTTTGTTGATCCTTTCAAAAAACCAGCTCCTGGATTCATTAATTTTTTGAAGGGTTTTTTGTGTCTCTATTTCCTTCAGTTCTGCTCTGATTTTAGTTATTGCTTGCCTTCTGCTAGCTTTTGAGTGTTTGCTCTTGCTTTTCTAGTTCTTTTAATTGTGATGTTAGGGTGTCAATTTTGGATCTTTCCTGCTTTCTCTTGTGGACATTTAGTGCTATAAATTTCCCTCTACACACTGCTTTGAATGTGTCCCAGAGATTCTGGTATGTTGTGTCTTTGTTCTCGTTGGTTTCAAAGAACATCTTTATTTCTGCCTTCATTTCAGTATGTAGCCAGCAGTCATTCAGGAGCAGGTTGTTCAGTTTCCATGTAGTTGAGCAGTTTTGAGTGAGATTCTTAATCCTGAGTTCTAGTTTGATTTCACTGTGGTCTGAGAGATAGTTTGTTATAATTTCTGTTCTTTTACATTTGCTGAGGAGAGCTTTACTTCCAACTACGTGGTCAATTTTGGAATAGGTGTGGTGTGATGCTGAAAAAAATGTATATTCTGTTGATTTGGGGTGGAGAGTTCCATAGATGTCTATTAGGTTTGCTTGGTGCAGAGCTGAGTTCAATTCCTGGGTATCGACACATACACTCTCCCAAGACTAAACCAGGAAGAAGTTGAATCTCTGAATAGACCAATAACAGGAGCTGAAATTGTGGCAATAATCAATAGCTTACCAACCAAAAAGAGTCCAGGACCACATGGATTCACAGCCGAATTCTACCAGAGGTACAAGGAGGAACTGGTACCATTCCTTCTGAAACTATTAGAATCAATAGAAAAAAAGGGAATCTTCCCTAACTCATTTTATGAGGCCAGCATCATCCTGATACCAAAGCGGGGCAGAGACACAACAAAAAAAGAGAATTTTAGACCAATATCCCTGGTGAACATTCATGCAAAAATCCTCAATAAAATACTGGCAAACCAAATCCAGCAGCACATCAAAAAGCTTATCCACCATGATCAAGTGGGCTTCATCCCTGGGATGCAAGGCTGGTTCAATATACGCAAATCAATAAATGTAATCCAGCATATAAACAGAGCCAAAGACAAAAACCACATGATTATCTCCATAGATGCAGAAAAGGCATTTGACAAAATTCAACAATGCTTCATGCTAAAAACTCTCAATAAATTAGGTATTGATGGGACGTATCTCAAAATAATAAGAGCTCTCTATGACAAACCCACAGCCAATATCATACTGAATGGGCAAAAACTGGAAGCATTCCCTTTGAAAACTGGCACAAGACAGGGATGCCCTCTCTCACCACTCCTATTCAACATAGTGTTGGAAGTTCTGGCCAGGGCAATTAGGCAGGAGAAGGCAATAAAGGGTATTCAATTAGGAAAAGAGGAAGTCAAATTGTCCCTGTTTGCAGATGACATGATTGTATATCTAGAAAACCCCATTGTCTCAGTCGAAAATCTCCTTAAGCTGATCACCAACTTCAGCAAAGTCTCAGGATACAAAATCAATGTACAAAAATCACAAGCATTCTTATACACCAATAACAGACAAACAGAGAGCCAAATCATGAGTGAATCCCATTCACAATTGCTTCAAAGAGAATAAAATACCTAGGAATCCAACTTACAAGGGACGTGAAAGACCTCTTCAAGGAGAACTACAAACCACTGCTCAAGGAAATAAAAGAGGATACGAACAAATGGAAGAACATTCCATGCTCATGGGTAGGAAGAATCAATATCATGAAAATGGCCATACTGCTCAAGGTAATTTACAGATTCAATGCCATCCCCATCAAGCTACCAATGACTTTCTTCACAGAATTGGAAAAAACTACTTTAAAGTTCATATGGAAGCAAAAAAGAGCCCGCATCGCCAAGTCAATCCTAAGCCAAAAGAACAAAGCTGGAGGCATCACACTACCTGACTTCAAACTATACTACAAGGCTACAGTAAGCAAAACAGCATGGTACTGGTACCAAAACAGAGGTAGAGATCAATGGAACAGAACAGAGCCGTCAGAAATAACATCGCATATCTACAACTATCTGATGTTTGACAAACCTGAGAAAAACAAGCAATGGGGAAAGGATTCCCTATTTAATAAATGGTGCTGGGAAAACTGACTAGCCATATGTAGAAAGCTGAAACTGGATCCCTTCCTTACACCTTATACAAAAATCAATTCAAGATGGATTAAAGACTTAAACGTCAGACCTAAAACCATAAAAACCCTAGAAGAAAACCTAGGCATTACCATTCAGGACATAGGCATGGGCAAGGACTTCATGTCTAAAACACCAAAAACAATGGCAACAAAAGATAAAATTGACAAATGGGATCTAATTAAACTAAAGAGCTTCTGCACAGCAAAAGAAACTACCATCAGAGTGAACAGGCAACCTATAAAATGGGAGAAAATTTTCACAACCTACTCATCTGACAAAGGGCTAATATCCAGAATCTACAATGAACTCAAACAAATTTACAAGAAAAAATCAAACAACCCCATCAAAAAGTGGGCGAAGGACATGGACAGACACTTCTCAAAAGAAGACATTTATGCAGCCAAAAAACACATGAAAAAATGCTCATCCTCACTGGCCATCAGAGAAATGCAAATCAAAACCACAATGAGATACCATCTCACACCAGTTAGAATGGCAATCATTAAAAAGTCAGGAAACAACAGGTGCTGGAGAGGATGTGGAGAAATAGGAATACTTTTACACTGTTGGTGGGACTGTAAACTAGTTCAACCATTGTGGAAGTCAGTGTGGCGATTCCTCAGGGATCTAGAACTAGAAATACCATTTGACCCAGCCATCCCATTACGGGGTATATACCCAAAGGACTATAAATCATGCCTGCTATAAAGACACATGCACACGTATGTTTATTGCGGCATTATTCACAATAGCAAAGACTTGGAACCAACCCAAATGTCCAACAATGATAGACTGGATTAAGAAAATGTGGCACATATACACCATGGAATACTATGCAGCCATAAAAAATGATGAGTTCATGTCCTTTGTAGGGACATGGATGAAATTGGAAAACATCATTCTCAGTAAACTATCGCAAGAACAAAAAACCAAACACCGCATATTCTCACTCATAGGTGGGAATTGAACAATGAGATCACATGGACACAGGAAGGGGAACATCACACTCTGGGGACTGTTGTGGGGTGGGGGGAGGGGGGAGGGATAGCATTGGGAGATATACCTAATGCTAGATGACGAGTTAGTGGGTGCAGCGCACCAGCATGTCACATGTATACATATGTAACTAAGCTGCACATTGTGCACATGTACCCTAAAACTTAAAGTATAATAATAAAAAAAAAAAGGAAAAGGAGGAGGTCATATGTTCTGTGTTCAAATCTCAGCAGAGCTACTGACTCTATTGACAGGACTTTAGGTAATTTTCTTTTAACTATGGTTAAGGCTCCATTTCTTCATCCTTTAGCAGTGTTGAATGTTTGTTTCCTCTAACCTTGTATGAGGATTAAATAAAATGATGGGTGCTCATTCAGCAGAATATATTGTATATAATATTAAATATAAATAAAAAATGAAGACCAACCAACTGAGAACAACCAACAGCTTTTCATCCAGAGCTTGCTATATCAAGGGAGTTAACCATCATTACTTGTGTTTTGAAGATACTCAAAGCCAGGCAGAGGAGTGGGAAAGTGTTGCAGAAAAAGGGAAGACTTCATATATGCTCTCATTGGAGGCTGTTAGTATGGGGAAGCTGTAGGCAGACTAACTAGAACCAGGGCATTCTACATGATTCATTGGAAGTGTATCTATCTATATATATTTTTTTTTCTGGTTGGTCCTAAGTCAGCAGTGATAACAAAGTTAGAGAACCTGTTAGTTATTAATCAAGTCCTGATCATTTTAGACCAATTGTTATGGCGGTACTTTGGTTTCCTGCATGTGTTGCTAGATATAGTTCTCTAACTTTCTGCAAGTCTGACCAGCTTTCTGGGCTGGTTACTCTAGATGACAGGTTAATTTTCTGGGCTAAATGTGACAGACTGTAGGTCATGGCTCTATTTCATACATAGTTTGACCATTGTTTTATGTATATACACACACACATACACATTTAATCTCTCAATCCTATAGTTTACCTTTCTCTTAAGTAAGTGATTACCTGAACCTCCCCCACTAAATCTCACAATGAGTTTCAGTGTTTCAAGAGGAAGATAGATATAGGCTGAAACAAGAAAAATTGCTCAACTTTTGTTTTTAAATTAATTTTTTATAAGTCCATTAAGAAACAATAGTCTCCAGAGTCTCAACTTTTGCAAAGGGAGAAAAAAAGGTCTCTAAATTACAAAAGATTTATTTACAACAGGGTATGATTGCAAGTTACTTAGATCAAGAAAATCCTCACACTCAAGTGTGAAAAATCCTTTCACATATTTTTCCAGGGACAGCCAAAAACAAAGAAACAAACAAAAAAGAAGAGAGAAAGCTTTGTACCAAGATGTTTCAATAAGCTCTTCTAGTGCCCATGGACATCCTAGGATTATGAACATGTATGCTGAACTGAAATCATATGATATTTAATGGCACCTAGAGGAATCTCAGTTCCCAATGTTGTCCCCCAAGAACACCTGAAATTCTATTAATGAATTATCCTGTAATAAGATACAATGCTTCTTCACTTCCTCTTTTAAAGATGTCAGGTCTTTATTGTGTTCAGTCCTTTCTCTGAGTTACATTTAAGAGACATCTATACAGTGGGTAAGAAGTCAATCATGATGGTAAGGAGACTCAAAGCTATGTAGGACAGAATAGAGTAAGAGTTTGTCAACCTTAGCACCACTGACACTCAGGACTAGATAATTTTTTGTTATGATAGCCATGCATTATTGAATATTTAGCAGCATCCTTGGCTTCTACTCACTAGATACCAGTAGCTCCCCTTTCCCAGTTGTCCCAACCAAAAATGTCTTCAAACATTGCCAAATGCACCTTGCAGTGCAAAATTCCTCCTGTTGAGAAACCGTGGTAAGCAAAGATTCCAATATTCACAGAATCATCTGAAGAACTTGTTTGAAAGTGCTGACTCCAGGGATCCACTGTGATGATTCTGAGTCAAAAGAAACAGAAAACTCTATGTTTTATAGGTTTCTCAGAGGTCTGATGGTCAGCCAGTTTGGAAATTATTTTTGGGTTACTAACCGTGAACAAGAAATGACTCAAAGGGGCCTTACAGCCATCTTCAAATATATAAAAGTTAACCCGCAAAAGTGAGATTCAACTTTTTCTGAGTTGCTAAGAAGGGAGTTCTGACCAAATTATAAAATAGAGAAAAATATGAATAATTATAATAGCACAGTAGATTTTCAATCACTAAAATTGTTTAAAGAAAAAGTTGAATAATCACTTGTCGAGAAAGTTTTAAAAGTAAATCACACATATAGATGGTGAACATGTGACCATTAAGGCATGTTCTAATTTTGAAATAAAGATTTTATATAAAGATTTTATATGAATAAATGATCCTTTAGTGAGAAATATAAATTTGATTCTTTTTAGCCTAAATGGAAGTAAAGCAGAAAGGAATTAATGTTATTAATACTTACATCCAATATACAGGTTCTTTATCTTGGGTGAATAACAGAACCACCTGTGGAGCTTTTAGAATATGCAAATATTTGGGCTCAAGGGAAGCTGAGAATTATTTAATTACTCTGTGTCAGGCCCTCCTCAGCTCAACACTCAGACATAAGTATTACTATTCTGTGTTTACAGGTGAGAGCCCTAGACATAAAAGGTTATACAATTTGCTCAAGGCTTCATGACTTCTAAGTGGTAAGACTAGTACCTAGTTCTCCCTGACTTCAAAGACCAACACTCTCCCTTAAGAGTATTACAGTGACTCACCAAAGAGAAGAAAGGATGGGCAGATATTTTTTCAAGTCTTTTGTGCCATCTAGGAAAATGTTAAAGTGACCTTCAACTTCTTGACAGTTTAATCTCATGTTAACTAAAGGGCAGAGCTAAAATAACGGTAACTAGAAAATATAGTCGTTATTGAAAAGGAAGAAAAAAATATGTGAAATCTTTTTCTCTTTGCCTAAATTTCCCAGAGAAAAACATGCCTAGACAAAAGAAGGTGTACCATCATTCAGTCGTGCAGTTCGGGTGATGAAGAATCTGTTCCCTGGCATGATTCATACAAAAATTCCTTCCACTGCTGAAAGCCACGATTCACATTTCTCAGATGTAGGTCAGACTTCCTGTCCTAAGATATAGTCCCAAAACACGAGTTTTAATCAGATTGAGGAATTAGTTAACATTTATACGTATGCTAAAATATGCTGATTTGTGCCACAGTACTGAAATGTATCTCGTGATGGAGAAAGATTCAGTCTCTTTTTGATATAATGTATGGGAGGGAGGGGAAGGTGGAAGGGGAGAAGAGAGAGAATCAAGTAAATGAATTAAGGTAAACTTGGAAAATAAAAAAGTTAGAAAAACTCAAAAGTCAGGAATAGCAATAATCAGTGACATACATTAAGCACATATTAAGTACCATAAAATGTGACAACCACTCCACATACATTTAGAGCAATCAATCATTTCAAAAATGTTATGATGTTATAATTCCCATTTTACACCTAAAGAAACAGAATCAAAGAAAGAAAGTTAAGTGCTTGCCCAGGGTCGCATAAATTATGCACGTGGATGCAAACCCAATCTTTTTCACTTCTGCATATATAGTCTCAAATGCACACTATACCCACCAGCCTCACACTTTCCATTTTGTTTTTACACAGATCCTTCCTCTTTAAGTACCCTGTAAATGATGGACTATGTGGAAATGGCAGGCAGGAATCCCATGGTTTCATTCCATTCCCTTACCACCCACTCTTTTAGGTTTGTTATTGGAGTTCATCATTAAAAACAAATTTGGATGCCCCAGTGACTTATAGAACCTTCTAATGAACATCGTAAAAGTGAGGAAGCCAGTCACATTTCAGGAGGCACTCACCTCTCGCATTCCAATTGATTTGGGAGGATGAGTTCAGCTCATTAGGAATCAGATGCAAAGGTCTTTAGCCTGAATATGCTGAGCAGATGGGCAAATTCTCTAAGATCCTGAGTTTGTTTCAGCAAAAGTAAGGCAGCTGAAAGCTAGGAAGGTCTCTAACTGGACCCAAAGGTATTTCAATTTTCTGCTTGAGCATCCAGGCACACTCAATGTTTACTTGGAAATTTAGAGAGCCTCTGCAATTCTAAGAGTTGGCACCTACAGGCAGAACAGCCGACCACTCATGGGTGGAATCTCAGGACTCTTGGGAAGGCTGAACTCCAGTGACCTCCAGTGACATGTGCTTCCTGTTGCTGAAATGAAACCCTCACAAGTCATTGCTTTACGTTGAGGCTTGCTTTCTCTTAAAATTCAAATGTTCCTCCTAGAGCTGCTAGCAGGAACCAGTCAAGCCCCACAAAGTTCATTTAAAGCCGTCCTAAACATAATCCTTCTATCCTGAAACTAGACACTACCAAACAGAGGACTGTGTCTGCCCTGGATGTTGCTTTCATCCTTCATTGTCTAGAACTCTGGTACCTCTTTAGGACCATCTTGCATCCTGCTGCTCATCCTCCTGCTTCTGTAGCTCCCATACTTCATGACTTTCTATTCTATCAGCCTAGCACCATTTTCAAGGCTGTCTTTGGACCTCAACCCAAGCTCTCTCTCCCAGGTGACTGACTCAGACTGCCCTTATTTTAAAATGCTCTTAATTTTTTATCTCTAGACACCTGCATTTGCCCATCTCTTGCCTCTAGATGATAAATAGAGAATAGCAAACATTAACATGAACCAGAAGATGGAAGTTCTACAAAGAGTATAAAATAGTGTAAAACCTAGAGGTTGAGGCATTATCGAAACTAAACTGAGATTATTAGCAGCATATTTAGTGAGTATCATAGACAGATTAATATTGAAAAGCAAAGCAAAGCATGGTTTGCCCAAAAAACTATTCAGGGTAAAGAAGTGTAGATACCTACATATAATTTGTGGACTTGACAATATATTAAACCTCACAATAGTGGTAAAAGCAGAACCAAAACATGCATTTTTTTATATATTTCACAAACTATTTTAACTCATGTGATCTTTTTAAGTGTCTTGTATAATCTTCTCAAAAATACTGCTAGGTAGAAATTATTATCTCTATTTTATAACTTGTGCAGTTGAAGCCCAGAAAAATTAAATTATTAAGTCGACAAAATTAGTAACAGAATCACAGTGAGAGCCAAGGTCTGCCTGACTCTAAATAATATGCTTGTTCAGAGCATCCCCTGTCCTTCTGCTTTGATGTTTTTTCCCTTGGGACCCAGTTTGAATGACCCTGATACTATCTACTTCCTCCCTCCATGATGGGCAGGACAACAGAAGCAGCAGGAGTGTGTAAGAATAAGACAGGGAGCCCAGCTCCCTGAATGTGAATCCCAGTACCCTTGCTTTTTCTGATTGCATTTGGTCAGGTGGTTAGATTATTTTGCCTCTTAGTTTCATATTCTTTCAAGTCATAATTGCACCAACCTTACAGGATTGTTGTGAGTACTAACTAAGATAACACATATAGAGATCATGACTCGGTAAGCAGAACTAACCATTTGTCAATGGACTGTTTTTTGTTTGATTGTTTTGTCTTCATTCCACACATGCAATCAGCTTTAACCATGTTAAAGTAGCTTGGATTTCTTTTTTATGGACATAAAGAGGGCAGCTAACATCTTGGTTAGAATGCTGGCTCTGGCAGGGTTTCTTGTCTGTACTTGAACACCAACTGCACCATCTAAGAGCTCTTTGACTCTAAACAAACTGGTTAACCCTCTGCACTTTCATTTATTCATCTATAAGTAGACTCATGGTAGTACATAATTTACACAGCTGTTGTGAAGATTAAATTACTTCAGTTAAGTACTTAGCGGAGTGCCCGGCTCACTGTTAAGTGTTTGGAAGCCTGAAGAATCTACACAAAGCTTTTTGCCTATCCTGTGTTAGCAGGAGGTTTGGTTCAAAATGAAACCAAAGGATAAAGTTTTAGCATAGCTAAATCAATGACTTAATACAGATCTGTCACCATGTTCTGACATCTATAGCTATTAAAGTTGGATGTGGGAGCCAAGACCCTGCAACTAATCTGGGAAATCACTTCTCATCTAGTTCTTATACATCCATGAAACCTTAAGGAAATCGAATCATTATGGTAGGCACCACACAGATTCAGTATCCATGGACACTGAATATGGATAAAAATAGGAATGAATTGTTTCATTGTTTACTAATAATGTCATATGAGCATATGACATTAAAAAGCACTGACAACTACTACATGATACTCACCATCATAAGTACACAAAACATTAGTGCATGGAGCAGCTTAAGTCTCTGCTCTCATAGAGTTTATCTTCTGGGCAGGGTAGTAGAGAAATATGATAAGCAAACAAACACAAACATGCGTGCATACACATAAAATCTCTATAAAGAAACCACTAAAGCAGGGATTAGGGGATGTAAGAGACTGAAAGTCTGTTACCTTAGACAGGTGTTCAGGGAAGACCTCCATGACTTTAGAGCAGAGGCTTGAGGCATTTAGGGATGATGCATACAGAAACCTGGAGGAAGAGCATTCCAAACAGAAACAGCAAGTGTACAAGCCTGGCAGAGACTATACTTATTGTGTTGAAGATATAGTACAGTGATCAGAAACTAGAGTGAAGTGAGTAAGAAAAAACATGGAAGGAATTCCAATTAAAATTTAATTATATGTATTACTTATTAGTGCCTGTCTTTATCACTGGAATTTAAGGCTTGTGAGGGAGGGATCATGTTGATCTTTTTGCACCGCTTTGTCCCCAGTCGCTAACAAGATGGTTTACACAGAGCATTGAATCAGTATTTTATGTGATGGCCAGATGGAAGAAAGGAAGGAAGCAAACAAGGAGAAATAAACATGTAAGGATGACAGAGTGTGGTTCAGGACCTGACAGTCTGGCTGGTTACGGCTTCAGTAACTTCAAGACAAAGAATTCAAGAGAACATATGTAAGAGAGGCAGGTTGATATAGCCTTGGAAATATTAGGCAATGTGATAACATTTACCTTCACCTGTTTAACTCACTGTCCAGCATAATCAAGTTTCATACACCCAAGATGATATAACACACATTATGGTGGATGACAATGATGACCCAAACTCTTCATTCCTTCCTGGACCTATGCCCTTTGCCATGTAGCTGTTCAGTGCCTCCCCACTGTGCACAGGATGACCCGGGTTGCCTCTTGATTTGGAGCTTAGGGATGTGATTTGCTGAAATCTAGATAATGATGAGAAATTGACTAGGTGTCAGTTTCAAACTGGGGCTTCAAGAAGACACAGCTATGTCTGTTTGTTCTCCTACATTTCTATCATCACTATAAGAATATCCTGGGCTGGGCACGGGGGCTCATGTCTGTAATCCTAGCACTTTGGGAGGCCGAAGTGGGCAGGTTACCAGAGCTCAGGAATTCACAACCAGACTGGGCAACATGGTGAAACCCCATCTCTACTAAAATACAAAAAATTAGCCAGGCGTGGCAGTGTGTGCCTGTAATCCCAGCTACTTGGGAGGCTGAGGAAGAATAATTTCTTGAACCCAGGAGGCGGAGGTTGCGGTGAGCCGAGACTGCGCCACTGCACTCCAGCCTGGGCAACAGAGCGAGATTCCATCTCAAAAAAAAAAAAAAAAAAAAAAAAAAAAACCAATCACTGGAATACCTGTTGGAGGATGAGAGACATGTGGAGCAAAATTGGGTTACTTGAGTAATCCAAGCATGGATCAGCCAAGATCAGCAGAACATGACCACCTTTTAATCCACAATGAACACATATACAAGTGCAATAAACACTTTTTTTTGCTGTATATCATGAATTTATGTGGTTTATTATATATCGAAAACTAACTATAAACATACCCTTTAAAATTTCCCCCCTAAAATGTTCCTCAAGTCTTTCCTTATGACAAAGCAGAAAAAGTAAAAATTGCATAGCAGGAAGAAAAATTGCATAGCAGGAAGAACTCCCGATCTGAAGAAAATTCTAAAGGAAACCTGTTCCCCCTACAGATGGAGATGCCTAATATTAGCCAGTCCTAATGATTATGCTTCTGGCTCCCTTGCCATTTAAAATATATTTGATTTTCTTCTAAACTGGCTCATACATGGTCAGCTACTACTTCTTTCATATTTTAAGGAAACTAAACTAATCTCTACCTTTTATGCCATGGAAACATATTTGAATTGAACACAACAGGTTTAACAACTAGAATATAAAGTAATTTTCTAGCACAGTCTGAAACTTGCTGTAATTGGACTCCTTAAATCACATGCAATATCCACTTCAGCAAAACCCTTTTTTATTTGCAGGTGTTTTCCACTGGCTATCTAGATGGTCAGCTAAGCTCTGCTCTGCACTAATAAAAATGATCATCAATGCTTTTACATTTTTTACAACTTTCTCAAAATTGTTTGGAGTCCATCAAGAGTGTATCAGAGTGTTCTTGCCTATAAGCAACAGAAACACTCCATTACTAATTTAACAAAAATAAAATGAAGGTTTTTGGAAGAGTATTAGGTAGCTGCATGGCTTACTTTAAGTAAAATGAGAAATCAGTTACATTTGGTCGGAACACCACTTTCGCTGGACACCAGATACCCAGATACCAGTGCTAGGACAAACACAGCCCCTGGACCTCAAATATTCCTGTTGTGGCTGAAAGAAAGTCACTGACTTCTTCACATAACTAACCACACAGTCAGATTTTAAGGAGGTAACATACGATTGGCTAAACATAGGTCACATGCTTATGCCTAACTTCTATTATAATGATTAACTGTCTCAGTTTTAGTGGGGATGCACCTATTTTAGCACTAAAGGTCCCACAATTCAAAGAACACCTTGGTCCCAACCAAATCAGAATGGTGGTTACTAAGGGGGCTGGCAAAATGAATATTTGATTCTTTTGTTTTCAAGACCAGTAAGTAGCTCTTTTTATACCACTGAGACTCATAAATCAAAGATTTTCCCAAATATAGTAAGAGCATTTTTTTAAATGACAAATATGTACAACACAGATAATATTTCATTTAGCATTCAGGAAAAATAAACATGAGATTTCTAAGGCAGGTATTTTCACAACTATCTGATGCATAAGCAATAAGGAATCATTTATTAACTCATTCAACAAATATTTTTTGAATGCGCCAGGCATTGTCAGTCACTTTGGATGCTTGTGAAAAAAAACAAAACCCAGGATTGCATATTGCAGTCAGGCTGCTTTAGATAAATAAATTTATCATATCAGATGGTAACATTTTCTATGAAGAAAAGTGAAATGAGGAATGTGTGATTAGGTGGAGAAATAAAAAGCTATCCATTTTTAAAACGGCAGTCAGGAAAGTACCCTCTGAAGGGGTGACCTCATTGCTGGGAAAATTAAGCACTGTCCACTGCGAGAGACTGCACTGGGAGAGGACAACTGGAAGTTTTCACCTCCTCTCTCCTAGACTCTGTGTTACATATCTTTTATCTTTACTGATGTAATCTACATCCTTCTACTGTAATAAATAACCATGAGTATGATAGCTTTTCTGAGTTCTGTGAGTCTATCTAGCAAATCATTGAACCAAGGATGAACTTAGGGACGCCTGACACACCTGTACTACCAAAAAAATATTAAAGAGAGTTCGTCAAGCAGGTGGGATATGAAACCAGAAGGGAATTTCAATCTAAGCAAAGAAATGAAGATGTCAGGCACAAAAGAGTGCACACTGTATGTTTCCATGTATTTGAAGTTTGAAAAATCGGTAATGCTAAACTTTGACGATAGAAGTGAGAATTAAGATTACATCTGGGAAGGGTAATGGCTGTAAAGGATGCCGGCCATTTTCAATATATTGATGTGAATGTTAGCTACATATATGTGTTCACTTTATAAAATGTTTCTTGAGCTGTATTAGATATAATATATATGTACATTATGATAGTTGACAATCACTCAATAAAAATGTATAAAATGTATTACAGACACACAATTGAAGGGTTTGCCTATGAAGAAAGATGCATCTAAAAGAGTAATATTATTATGCTGATAAGAGGAATTTTCAGTTTCTAGATAATGTAGCATCATAACAACATCATATGCTTATCAATCGTAAGGAATTTGGTCTCTTTTTCATCAGCTGGCTAGCTATGTGTTCTTATATAAATTTCTTAATCTATCTCAGAATCAGTTTCCTCATTTGCAAAATGGGAAATATAATATTTAGCTTTCAGTTTTATGGTGAAAAATTAATGAATATCTATAGAGGAACACCACAAAGACTAGTAAAATACTAGGGTTCATACAAGCAATGCTTATTGACCTTATTGTTAAGATGGTGGGAAGGAACAGGAAGAGAAATAAGATAAAGATTCTGATATTTTAGTTCATCTAAAAACAGGATCAGGTGAACTCTGTTACTGGAGAAATTAGTATCTGCATCCACAGATTCAGACATGCCTTTTTCATTTTCATTAATTTTGGTCCATATTGGAAGCAGAAAACTTACATAGCTGGCAAATACAGTACCTCAGCAGAGTTGAGAAAACATAATGTTGAAGAAACTGGAGCTGCATCTAAGGATTCTGATATTTAAAAAAAATATTTTACCCCACTACCTTCTAGGCCATTGTGATCATCTTGGGTTTACAATAGATTATAAGATAATAATCACCTTTAGCCACAAGGCACAAAGGAAGATGCTGCTGAATCTAGAGCTCCAAAAAAATAAGCACACTTATTCCTAGAACATGGCAAGTCCAGGCCCTGGGCAATCAATGTAAGTGGTCAAATTATCCATCCTCTGTGCTTTTAAAGATGTGGTTTCTTCATTGGCAAAATGTGGAACAGAATGCTTACTTTACAAGAACAGATCTCATTTCAAACTTCCTGTCCTGTGGTTCCCATATATGCACCTTCACACTCTATGCTGTGCATCTTAATTGGAGTTAATAAAATATGATCAGAAACTGATGAAATTCTATGGAAAATGATAGTAAGGAGCACAGGTTAAATATTAAGTAAAAATAAAAATTAATTTGAAAACTATTGTGGTGTAGTGAATACTGACGTCTATGCCAGGATCATCTTGCCAGGATGACCTTGGAAAATTATTATGTCCTACTGTGAGTTACTGAGCTCCTGTTTCTGACATTTTAATCATTTAATTTGTCAGTTGCAAGATATTTTAGAAGTCATTCTTCTCATCATTCATTTCCCTTAACAAATGATAAACGGGTTCAGAAAGGGAAAGTGACTTGCCTGAACTCACACATCTTGTTGGTCCAAATCTAGGACTAAAGTTAGGTTTTCTGACTCCAGGCTAAATGCATTTGCAAGAACCCCAACAAAAAATGGACAAGTGAGAGAACAGGCTTCATAGTCAGAGAGCCTGGATTCAATTCTTGCTCTGCGATATTCCAGCAGGTACAACCTGGGAGAAGTTAGTTAAATTTTTTTGCCCTTAGTAATTTTTTTTAGAAAATGGCTATAATAAAAGCACCTATCTTAAAGGAATACACTGAATTTGAAGTATGATAATATATATAAATCAAGAACATAAAACCCTGCCGGCAACATTGTAAGAGCTCAATGAATGTTAGCTATCAGGATATTCAACAACCTCATACCCAAGAACTGAGTTATTGGCAATGATGATAGACACTGACCACTGTGAATGAGCCAGGAACAAGGATAGCCATATGCTGTCCTTATTATGAATAATGAATTGGGAAAGGTCATTTCAAAATCAGTTATTAATTTTACTCTTCCTGTGTTGCTTACACCATGCTTCTAGATGTGGCTTTTGTTGTGAATATTAGTTCACACAAAGTCGGTAGAATTAGTGGTGCTCAAGGAGTCATTCTCAGTACCTTTGCCTACAGTCTAATACCACAAAGCCTGCTTAATCATTTTACAGACTTTCTAAATAAGCTATTTCTGCTATTGAGAAAATGAAGTTAATTGTGTGTGTGTGTGTGTGTGTCTGTTCACTTTTATGTGGTACTGTTCATCAGTACCTATAGACCTTTTACTTAGATCATACCTTCATAAGGGGATATGGTAGAAGAAAAAAGAATATTATTTTACTGTCTATCAGACTTGGGTTCAGTCCTACCTCTTTCTTCAATATCTGCTCATACAAATCACTTAATTTCTTTGAACTTCATTTTTCTCAAAGATAAAATGGAGATCATGCTGACCTGGCCAGTTGTGAAGAGCAGTAGAAAAGACTTACAAACTGTCGTTTAATTCCCTTCTTTTTCATGTTTTGGAAAAGGAAAAAAAAAAAAAGACAATACTCAGTGATCAAAGAAGTGGGAAATAAATCTAAAAAGGCTAACAGTAAATACAGTAAATGACCAGATTTATCTATCTCTCTACCTATTATCTATCTATCTATCTATCTATCTATCCATCTATTTATTGAAACAGGGTCTTAGTCTGTCACCCAGGCTGGAGTGCAGTGGTGTGATCACAGCTCATTGCAACCTGGAACTCTTGGGCTACAGCGATCATCCGCCTGAGCTTTCCAAAGCACTGGGAGTACAGGGATAAACCATGGACCCAGCCAGATTTTTCTTATTCTAACTTAATCTAAGGCTGCTTATTTTAGTGAGAAAAATAATCCTGACACATTTTATAAGAGTCTACCACAAATAAAAAATGCAAAAGCAAACATTTCATTATTATTGGAGGCAAATGGGTTGAGAATTGCTAATGCAATTATGATGACCACTAAAGGGATATTCATGTATAGAGTTTAAATTTAAAAATATTTATTTTTTCAGTATGTCCTTGGAAAAGACTAGTCTTTCACATGGTATGTGTGTTTTCTTCTTTTAGCATGACATATGTGTTTTTAATTGTCACCTGGATTTTGTGTAAACATGAAGTTTGATACGGAAAGTAGAAAACAGGGGTGAGAAACAAATAGGACAACATAATCAACTGCTTTAAAGATACAGTCAGGCTCTTAAAAATTAAATAATCCATATATTAAGTACTATATTCAGCATTTCTCAAAACATGTACTGAACGCATACAGGGCATAGAGTAAAATACCAGAAATACAGAGATTAATAACATAGTCCAAATTCTCAGGGAACTCAGTCTAGTGGAGCACAAAGGCAATCAAAGAGACAGGTACACTGCAACTTCTTAAGCGTCACAGAAACAGAATGTGAGTTGAAGAAATAAACTCTGGCAGAGGCACACCCTAATGCATTCCTAAAACGCATGAACGAAGCGAGACAGAAGTACAGAGGGCATAGATGAAGATATGAGGGAGCATGACATTCTGGCAAATAGCCAGTAGTTGGGTGTGGGTGTAGAATTAGGATAAGGAGGGAAGCCTGGAGGTAGAACAGGCTGATGAAGTGAGTACAGTCAAATCACAGCAGTCCTTCTATACTAAGACAGTTTGAATTCTCTTTTCTTCTGAAGCCTATAGGGAAGAATCTAAGTATACATATATATATATATATATGTTTAGTGTATATATATATAAAATATATAATATTATATATTATAGATAGCATATACATTGTTTATTTCTATATATTAAATATTATCTTATTAATTAATATACTAATAATATCTTAATTATATTAAGAGAATATTTAATATAATATTTGACATATATTTACATTATATGTACATGTGTGTATATATATCAAAATATATATTTACAAGTGGAATTATATAATCAGATTTACTTTTTGATAAAGGATAGCTCCAAATCAATGGTCTCTGAAACTGTCCACTTGACTCCAAGAACCAATATTGGAATGGAAATAAAGAAAGAATACAAGAGGTTCAGAAGTTAAAATATCTGGAATTTGGTGATTAATGAGAGAACAAAAGTGACATAAAACCAGATCCTAGAATTATTTAGCTTACCTCCTTCTCTGATTAATTCAACACATTTTTATGTTATACCACAGAATACAGTTTATACTATTTTATTTAATAACATACAGATTTTGTAATACCATTTAGCTATTGTTTTGACTCTTCTTTAAACACACAAACACCCTCCCACCTCAGTTGCATTGTGTTTCCTAGAGGGATAATTTTCCCCAAATCATTGTAAAATTAACCCAATAATTTAACTCAGATCCCCAATGTTATCTCAGATAGAACTTTTTGGGGCCAGGCAGAATGGCTCATGCCTGTAATCCCAGCACTTTGGGAGGCTGAGGTGGGCAGATCATGAGTTCAGGAGATCGAGACCATCCTGGCTAACATGGTGAAACCCATCTCTACTAAAAATACCAAAAAAAAAAAAAAATTAGCTGGGCATGGTGGCAGGCACCTGTAGTCCCAGCTACTCGGGAGGCTGAGGCAGGAGAATGGCATGGACCCTGGAGGCAGAGCTTGCAGTGAGCCGAGATCACGCCACTGCACTCCAGCCTGGGCGACACAGTGAGACTCCATCTCAAAAAAAAAAAAAAAGAACTTTTTGGATTACTGTATCTAAAAATAATTATCCTAGCCAGTCACTCTCTTTTCCCATAGTCTGCTTTATTTTTCTGCATTGATTAATACTTGAAATTAAACGATATAATTATTTGTTTATTTGCTTATTGACTGTCTTTCCACCAGAATGTAAGCTGTCTATGTTCAGGAGCTTTTCCTCCTTTACAACTCCATTCCCAGCACTGAGAACAAAACCTGTCACTAATACTAGGCACTCTACACCTAATTGTTAAATGCATGAAGTGTTCACTTTTTTTTTTTTTTTTTTTTTTTACCTTTCCAATTAATAGCAAACTGCTTAGCATTCTATAATATTTGAATCAGAGCTGCCACCGGAGTAAATGTAAACTGTCTTATTTTTAAGATAAGAAAGTTATATCCTAGGAAGATTTTATTGTTCCTTCAAAGTCCAAATACTAGTTAACAGTAAAATCCAGGATTGCTGATTCATACTGCAGATTTCTTTCCTTTCAGTTATAATTTCTCTACACTCTGGGTAGAAACCATACCTTCTATTTTGTCTGCTTTTTCTCCTCTCCAGTACATATAACCATACTAGGTATATGAAAATGTTTCCTCTTACTGAACAAAGAATTGAATGTATTCAACATCTCTCACTTGCAAAAATCAAACCAACTCACCAACTTCAATTCCACCTGAAAGTATGACCCTTTTTTCTCCTAATAATGGAGTCTGCAGTTTCAGTTATAGAAACAATATTACCTTTTCTTAAACACAAATAATAGCAGAAATCACCCCTTACTCACTTGCCTTGGAGTTGAGGTATGATGGAGAAGTATTGCTGGTATAAAAATCAGGTTGTAGTTCTTTGTGAGTAGAGAGAATTTAGAATAGAATGAATTCAAACTATCAGTCATGAATAAAACCAGTAAAACAATTTATCTATGAAGCTCCAATGTCCTGAACTGATGCTGGCATAAAAAGACTTTTATGGATATTATTTTCCACCTCAACAAACAGTTGCATTTAACTTTCTAGCTGTCAAAATGGTCACAGCCATTTTTCACTCCAGAGTTGCCTGTCTCTTTCAATTTTAGCTTACAATATTGCTCCAAAGCTAATGGATTGCCCTCCTAATATACGCAAGAAAGCATTGTGATGATTATATTCATGCCAGACAATAATATGTAAAGATATTTCAGCCAAGTTTCAATGACTGTTACAAATAGTACTATTTCCTGGGTTTACCATTAATATGTTGTCAATCCCACTACCAACACCTCCTTAAGTTTGACTTATTACCTCTATGTTTCTAGGCCTATTGGTTGATAATGCTTCCTCCTATAAGTTGTGTTTTTAAAAAAATAACAAATAATACAAGTGTGAATTGAAACCCTCAATCTAGGTTCTTCAATATACCTCATGACACTTTGACTTATTCAGAAACTTTTTTTTCTTTTTTCTTTTTGAGACGGAGTCTCACTCTGTTGCCCAGGCTGGAGTGCAGTGGCACAATCTCTGCTCACCTCAACCTCCACCTCCCAGGTTCAAGCAATTCTCCTGCCTCAGCATCCTGAATAGCTGGGATTATGGGCATGCACCACCACACCCAGCTAATTTTTGTATTTTTAGTAGAGACAGGGTTTCACCATGTTGGCCAGGCTGGTCTGGAACTCCTGACCTCAGGTGATTCACCCGCCTCGGCCTCCCAAAGTGCTGGGATTACAGACACGAGCCACTGCACAGAAACTATTCACCTCCCTCCTCCCACTGTGGGTAGAGTGTACTTCTCTAGCCCTTTGCTGTAGAACTTGGCCACATATCTTACTTCAACCAGTGAAATGTTAGTGGACAGGATATGAGCAGAAACTTGAAATGTGCTTGCAAAATTGGTCTTTTCTTCTGACATTCCAGAAAGGAATCTCAAGACTGTGAGAAGAGCTTCCACTGGATAGCTTCTACTACTCTAGCCTGGGCTTGAGAATGCAACAGGTAGAATAGACCTGAATTCCACCCCCAATCAAAAGCAGAACTGCTGAAACTGACCAGTAGACCACATGCAATGAAAATAAATATTTGGTAAGGACTTAGATACAATGGTTGTTTTAAAAGAGTAAAATTGATTAATATAGACCACATCCTCTGTCTCCTGCTGACATTCAAAACCATTCAGATGATGCTCATTCCGACATCCATGATTGGGTGAAAGGAATCCAAAAATAAAATCAAATAGTCATTAAGTTTAGTTTCTGGCTTGGTCACTTACAAACACTGTAAACTTAGGCAAGCCTGCTTTACTTGCATACTTGAGTTCCTTACCTATAACATGGGGTTAATAATTTTCACCCCCAGGTGTAATGATGAATGTTAAATGAGGTAAATTCTGTGACTCTGCTACCACAAGTCTTTCTCAGAATAGTACTGGATGAAGGGACAGATTATCTGTGTCCAAATCCTGGATTTCACACCAACTGGCTGGGAGTAGAGGATGTTGAAATGTATTATTTTTTCACTGTCCATATGCATTCCCGCCTTCAATTCTTCTCTCTGTAAATGGTCCTGGAGGGGGGAGTGAGGGAGACACATTCTTTATGGTTTATGTGTAATGACTTTTCCACAGTGCTGGACTTCAAGGTAGGTGTATATCTAAGGCCTAACACAGCAGCCTCAGCATTGCACTACTTATGCCACAGTGATTGGATCATGGATGGGCACATGATCAAAGTCTAGCCAATTAGAGCCCATCCCAACAACTTGTCTGAAGCTACATAGATGGAAGTGCCTTTTCTTTACTCCTAATTGCATGCTGAAACTGTAATATAATCCTAGAGCTAAACTTGCTATGGCAGACAATATAATAGAGGAGTCCTCTTTAAAATAAAGCCAACACAGAGGGAAACAGACCAGGATATGGATGGAAAATAAACTTTTTATTACATTATTTAAGCCTCAGCATCCACCTTGGACTGCAGACAGGACCACTAAGAGACATTTCAATAATGTGAGCCAATACACACCCAATTACTTAGACCGATTTGAGGTGGGTACCATCACTTACAAACAAAAAAGTGTGACCTTGAAAAATTTATTTTATTTCTTTGCATCAAGGTTACCTAATATGTGAAATAGAAACAAAAATAGTATTACTTTACAGTATCAAGATGCGTTGCTATTGTAGGAATTAATAGATGATGTACCTCAAATATAATATGTAGTCAATAAAAATATCCATGATTATCATCAACACATTCTCCTACCTTACACCAGCTTTGAAAAATGTCACAGACTAATAAGTCAATAAAGACACATTTCTTCACTCCTCTCTCTATTCACCAAATGAGAGATTCCAGAACAATGTTCTAAGGAGGAGGGAAAGGAAAATGGAGAGAGAAGAACAAAAGGGAAGTAATCATAGACACAGAGAACCAGAAGTCAGCGACATGGTAAGAAAATGGATGAAAGAGGCTGGGCATGGTGGCTCACACCTATAATCCCAGCACTTTGGGAGGCTGAGGCAGGCAGATCACTTCAGGTCAGGAGTTCAAGACCAGCCTGGCCAACATGGTGAAACCCCATCTCTACCAAAATACAAAAATTAGCCAGGCATGGTGGCGGGCACCTGTAATCCCAGCTACTTGGGAGGCTGAGGCAGGAGAATCACCTGAACCTGGGAGGTGGAGATTGCAGTAAGCTGAGCTCACGCTACTGCACTCTAGCCGGGGCAACAAAGCGAGAAAGGGAAGGGAAGGGGAGGGAAAAAAATTGATGAGAAAATTTAATATGTCCAAAACCCTCTGGAGTCTGGAACAACTTCAAGACAGGCTGTCCAGGTGATAAAATGTAAAGGGACTAAAAACAAAACAACTTGTAATGCCTGAGATAATGAACTGAACCCTCAGGGAATGAACAACAATAAGAACCTACTTGTGTGACAAGGGTAAACAACATACAAAGAAAGCCTCCCTAAGCCTGGTTCCCTTTCCCATGTTCTCAGCCTGTGAGTGATACAAACTACACATACTGAAAGCATCAGGCTTGGAGACCTGCAAAGACCTCAATCCTGAAGATCCTTGCTAACCCTGAATGAAGAAGTCGAGGTTCTTCAGCCCCTAAGAACCAGCATCGCCATTTGTCATCCCTTACGTTAGAAGAAATTGGTAGCCCCTTCTAAGTAGGCTTTCCACCAGACCACTTAGGAAGAGAACGAACAAAGCCCAAACTATTTCTTTCCAGAAGACCCACACACTTAATGGCATACACTGTCCTATCTGCATACAGAGCTCAGAAGGGAGGCTCCCATTTTCTGGTATACCAGAACCTCTCACCTCCTCCCTTTGAATACAACAGTGCAATCTCCATATTTCCTTCCACTGGCCCTTGTCCTCAGGGCCTCTTTCTAACCACACCTACCTTCCTCAGCCTCACATTCTTAGTCACACTGCACCCAAAAAATAAGACCCACAGAGTTAAACACCTTTGATATGATTTGACTGTGTATGCACTCTAATCTCATCTTGAATTGTAGGTCCCATAATCCCCACATGTCATGGGAGGGAACGAGTGGGAGGTAATTGAATCATAGGGGTGGGTTTTTTTCATGCTGTTCTCCTGATAGTGAATGTGTTTCACAAGATCTGATGGTTTTATAAAGGGCAGTTCTCCTGCACACACTCTCTTGCCTGCTGCCGTGTAAGATGTGCCTTTGCCCCTCCTTCACCTTCTGCCATGATTGTGAGGCCTCCCCAGTCATGTGGAACTGTGAGTCCATTAAACCTCTTTTTCTTTATAAATTACTCAGTCCTGAGTATTTCTTCATAGCAGTATGAAAATGGACTAATATAGTAAATTGGTACCAGTAAAGTAGGGTACTGCTATAATGATACTCAAAAATGTGGAAGTGACTTTGGAATTGGGTAACATAGGTTGGACAGTTTGAGGGCTCAAGATAAGACAGGAAAATGTGGGAAAGTTTGCAACTTCCTAGAGATTTGGAGGGCTCAGAAGACAGGAAGGTCTGGGAAATTTTGAAAATTCCTGGAGAGTTGCTGAATGACAATTTTGACCAAAATGCTGATAGTGATGGACAGTGAAGTCCAGGCTGAGGTAGTTTCCGAAGATGAGGAACTTGTTGGGAACTGGATTAAAGGTCACTCTTCTGATATGAAGAGACTGGCAGCATTTTGCCCCTGCCCTAGAGATTTGTGGAACTTTCAACTTGTGAGAGACAATTTAAGGTATCTGGTGGAAGAAATGTCTACGTAGCAAAGTGCTCAAGATGTGACTTGGGTGCTATTAAAACCCTTCAGTTATATGTATTCACAAAGATACGGTTTGCCATTGGAACTTACATTTAAAAGGAAAGCAGAGCATAAAAGTTTGGAGAACTTGCTGCTTGATCATGAAATAGAAAAGAAAAACCCATTTTCTGAGGAGAAATTCAAGCTGGCTGTAGAAATTTTCATAAGTAACAAGGAGAGAAATGTTAATCAGCAAGACAATGAGGAAAATGTCTCCAGGGCAAGCCAGAGGTTTTCACAGCAACCCCTCCCATCACAAGCCAGGAGGCCTAGAAGGAAAAAATGGTTTTGTGGGCCAGACCCAGGACCTTGCTGCTTTGTACAGTCTCTAGACTTGATGCCCTGCATCCCAGCCATGGCCAAAGGGTCCAATGTACAGCTCAGGACATTGCTTCAAAGGTGAAATCTCCAAGCCTTGGTGGCTTCCACATGGTGTTGGGTCTGCAGGTGCACAGAAGTCAGGAATTGAGGTGTGGGCACCTCTGCCTAGATTTCAGAGGATGTATGGAAATGCCTGGATGTCAGGCAGCAGTGTGCTGCAGAAACAGAGCCCTCATGGAGAACCTCTGCTAGGGCAGTGTGGAAGGGATATGTGGAGTTGGAGGCCCCACACTGTGTCCCCACTGGGGCACTGCCTAGTGGAGCTGTGAGAAGAGGGCCACTGTCCTCCAGATCCCAGAATGGTGGATCCACTGATAACTTGCACATTGCACCTGGAAAAGCCACAGATGCTCAACTCCAGCCTGTGAAAGCAGCCAGTGGGGAGACTGTACCCTACAAAGCCACAAAGGTGGAGTTGCCCAAGACTGTGGGAACCCACTGTGCACATCAGCTTGTCCTGGATTTGAGACACAAAGTCAAAGGAGATTATTTTGGAGCTTTAAGGTTTGACTCCTCTGCTGAATTTTGGACTTGCATGGGGCCTGTAGCCCCTTTGTTTTGGCCAACTTCTACCATGTAGAATGGTTGTATTTACCCAATGCCTGTATCCCCATTGTATCTTGGAAGTAACTAACTTGCTTTTAATTTTACAGGCTCATAGGCAGAAGAGATTTTACTTGCCTCAGATGAGACTTTGGACTGTGGACCTTTGAGTTAATGCTGAAATGAGTTGAGACTTTGGGGGACTGTTGGGAAGACATGCTTGGCTTTAAAATGTGAGGACATAAGATTTGGGAGGGGCCAGGGTTGGCATGATATGGTTTGGCTGTGTCCTCACCCAAATCTCATCTTGAATTGTAGCTCCCATAATCCCCATGTGTCATGGAAGGGACCCAGTGGGAGGTAATTGATTCATAGGGGTGGGTTTTTCCTGTGCTGTTCTCATGATAGTGAATAAGTCTCACAAGATTGGATGGTTTGATAAAAGGCAGTTCCCCTGCACATACTCTCTTGCCTGCCACCATGCAAGACATGACTTTGCTTCTCCTTCACCTTCTGCCATGATTGTGAGAGCTCTCCAGCCATGTGAAACTGTGAGTCCATTCAACCTCTTTTTCTTTATAAATTACCCAGTCTCAGGTATTTCTTCATAGAAGTATGAAAATGGACTAATACAACCTTCAATTCACCTTCTCTCTCCAACTAAATGACTTCATTTTCACTCTATTTCTGCTACCCCTCTAGAATTTCAGAGGACAGTTTCCAAGTACTTTTATTTCCAAAAACATCCTTCTCCCATAACATCTGCATCACTACTCTCATCTCTTTAATGTTTATTCTCATTTTTTTTGTTTTCTCTTTCATCTTTGCCTTAGCCCTATGCCCTGGCTATTTCTCTTTAGTTTTAAACAGACTCACAAATCCCATTACCCAAAACCAGGATAAAAAAGGAAGAAAAAAGCCAATACAAACACCACTACCAAGAGAAAACTTGTTTTGCCTGTTTTTCTATTTGGTTCCCATTTCTTCTTTGATCTGATTGCAGTCTATTCTTGTCCCTTAAGTATCTTTATATCCATTCACTACTTTCTTTTTTTTTTTTTTTATGAGATGGAGTCTTGCTCTGTCACCCAGACTTGAGTGCAGTGGCATGATCTTGGCTCACTGCAAGCTCCACCTCCTGGGTTCACGCCATTCTCCCACCTCAGCCTCCCAAGTAGCTGGGACTACAGGGGCCCGCCACCACACCTGGCTGATTTTTTTGTATTTTTAGTAGAGATGGGGTTTCATCATGTTGGCCAGAGTGGTCTTGATCTCCTCACCTTTTGATCTGCCCGCCTCGGCCTCCCAAAGTGCTGGGATTACAGGCATGAGCCACCACGCCCAGCCTCACTACTTATTTTCTTAAGATCCAAATTACATTACCTGATTAAAACTATATAATGCAACATGTTAATAGTAGGCAATATTGGGGAGGGGTTATATTAGAACTACCTGTGCTTTCTGATCAATTTTTCTATAAATCTAAAAGAGCTAAAGAAAAAAATACTTGTTTTAAAAAAGATAATCTAGTAAATGAGTGCATCATACTTAATATTCCTGGAATATTATGCTATATCTTATGTTATTGATAAAGATAATTTAAAAGTCAACTAAAATTCTGAGGCATTAAAAAAACTGTATTTGGCAGCTGCCATTGATCTACTAAGTGCTCACTCTAATGGGTACTTATTCATCTTATTCCTTTACCTCTATGCTATCGGACTCTGCTAACCTATTTTCCAACTGCCTGGAATAGAGCAGCTGTATTTCTGATGGTTCTTTTTCAATCTAATCATTATAACAAAAATAGTTGAATATTCATGTAACAGTTGGGAAAATAATGGTTCAAGCAAATTGCAATGCTAATAAATGGTAGTAAATGACTGAATAGACATAAAAACCAAAGGACTTTTTCCCTGTTAGTCATCATTTTCTCTATCAAATGGGCCACTCTAATCCTGAAACTCATTCTTCTTACTGACTGCCCTATATCTATTAAAGACACTGCTATTTTTCTACTCACCCAATGGCAAAACCTTAAGCATCTGAAATCACATATGGCTACAAAGATTTCTTCCTGTAACCACGGACCCAAAGAGGCTGGAGTTCACTGCTACTCTAGACTAATTGCTTCCTTTTTCCAAATGTGAAGGCTGAAACTTGGGGGAAAGGAAGTGATGGGAAGGAATGACAGTCTATGATGTTATTATTTGTAACTACAGGTTTGGGACTAGAACTTTAGTCTTCTTGATTCCTAGCCTAATCTGTCCTAACCTCATCAGACTATGACTCAGAGGGAGGTGAAAATATTGAGGATATTGTGGGTGGCACCCTCCTGGGGCAGGTGAATCAGCCTTTAGTGAATGTACTGTCCTAGAAACTCTATTTCTAATCACTTGACTAGCATCAGTTTCAAGCAGTGGGCCTCTTGGTACTTCCTACTTTTTTTACCTTAGTAATGATCCAGTTTTCCCAGGGCACAGCTACATTTCCTACAGTTGAATACATAAACCTTAAGTCAACTTGTGAATATTGGTGTTAGTACTCATTTCTTCCAAATAATCCCTAAGAATGTCCACCATTCCATTAGTGTCATGATTCCAAAATACATGTGAGCCTGGTAATTGAAGTCATCAGTGTGGCTTCAGTGTGCAAAGCCAATTTCTGATTTTTTAAAAACAGAGACGATGTACAGAAGGCATAAAGAGTAATCTTTTGAAGAGGTCCTTCACATCCTTTCTAAGTTGTATTCCTAGGTATTTTATTCTCTTTGTAGCCATTGTGAATGGGAGTTCATTCATGATTTGGCTCTCTCTCTATAATTGGTGGATAGGAATGCTTGTGATTTTTGCACATTGATTTTGTATACTCAGACTTTGCTGAAGTTGCTTATCAGCTTAAGGAGATTTGAGGCTGAGACGATGGGGTTTTCTAAATATACAATCATGTCATCTGCAAACAGAGACAATTTATCTTCCTCTCTTTCTATTTGAATACCGTTTATTTTATAAACCACTGCTCAAGGAAATAAGAGAGGAGGCAAACAAATGGAAAAACATTCCATGCTCATGGATAGAAAGAATCAATATTGTGAAAATGGCCATACTGCCCAAAGTAATTTATAGATTCAGTGCTAATACCATCAAGCTACCATTGACTTTCTTCACAGAATTAGAAAAAAACTACTTTAAATTTCATAGGGAACCAACAAAAAGCCCAGATAGCCAAGACAATCCTAAGCAAAAAGAACAAAGCTGGAGACATCATGCTACCTGACTTCAAACAACACTACAAGGCTATGGTAACCAAAACAGCATGGTACTGGTACCAAAACAGATATATAGACCAATGGAACACAATAGAGGCCTGAGAAATAATGCCAGACATCTACAACCATCTGATCTTTAACAAACCTGACAAGAACAAGCAATGGGGAAAGGATTCCCTATTCCATAAATGTTGTTGGGAAAACTGGCTAGCCATATACAGAAAACTGAAACTGGACCCTTTCCTTACACATTATGCAAAAATTAACTCAAGATGGATTAAA